>NC_000009.12:33040303-33191818 GCF_000001405.40 Homo sapiens
AAGTGCTTTGTGACAGATTTCACTTTTCACTGGGTTTATGTACAAATTCTAAAAATCTCTGAACCTGTATTTTAATGCATTTAAGAGCATTGTTTAGGCCAGGCATGGTGGCAGTGGCTCACACCTGTGATCCCAGCACTTTGGGAGGACAAGGCAGGCAGATCACCTGAGGTCAGGAGTTTGAGACCAGCCTGGCCAACTTGGTGAAAACGTGGTGTACTTTACTAAAAGTACAAAAATTAGCCAGGTGTGGTAGCACTCACCTGTAGTCCCAGCTACTCGGGAGGCTGAGGCAGAATTGCTCAAACCCAGTCCGGAGGTTGCAGTGAACCAAGATTGCACCATTGCGCTCCAGCCTGGGTGACAGCAAGACTCCGTCTCAAAAAAAAAAAAAAAAAAAAAAAAGCATTGTTTATAGGACGCTTAAAAATTTTTACAAATCTCACACAAGGTTTTCAGCGTTTGTCAGTCATAAGGGAAATGCACATAAAAACCAGATACCACTTCATACCTAATAGGATAGCTCTAATCCAAAAAATGGAAAATAAGAATATGGAGAAATTGGAACCCTCTGTACTTTGTTGGTGGTAATGTAAAAT
The DNA here is from genome assembly GCF_000001405.40 of Homo sapiens. Taxonomy (NCBI): domain Eukaryota; kingdom Metazoa; phylum Chordata; class Mammalia; order Primates; family Hominidae; genus Homo; species Homo sapiens. The sequence goes on from NC_000009.12 coordinate 33,040,903, forward strand.
GTTGCAGTTGCTGTAGAAAAGTCTGGCAGCTGCTTAAAAAGCTAAACATGGAATTACCACATGACCCAGAGCTGGCCCTCCTTTTTGGGTTTCACATCCATGGATTTAGTCAACTTTGGATCAAAAACAATTGGGAAAAATTGTTTCCTGACCATGTACAGACTTCAGCTGTTAAAAGTATAACAGCTGTTTACATAGTACTTACATTGTATTAGGTATTACCAGTAACCTAGAGCTAGATGGCTAAATTACGCAGGATGTGTAGGTTATATGCAAATAACCATCTTGTTTTATATCAGGGACTTGAGTACCCTCGGATTCTGGTATCCATGGAAAGTCCTGGAACCAGTACCCCCATGGATACTGAGGGATGACTATACAAAAGGAATTAAAAACGAATGAAGGCCGGGCGCGGTGGCTCATACCTCTAATCTCAGCACTTTGGGCAGCCTAGGCGGGCTGATCACCTAAGGTCAGGAGTTGAAGACCAGCCTGGCCAACGTGGTGAAACCCCGTCTCCACTAAAAAGACAAAAATTAGCCGGGTGTGGTGGTGGGCGCCTATAATCCCAGCTACTTGGGAGGCTGAGGCAGGAGAAACGCTTGAACCCAGGAGGTGGAGGTTGCAGCGAACCAAGATTGTATCATTGTACTCCAGCCTGGGCGACAAGAGGGAGACTGTCTCAAAAAAAAAAAAAAAAAAAAAAAACTCGTATGGTCAGTGTTTACTGTGCATTCTCAACAGCCCAAAGTGGAAACCTGACTGTCCACCAACAAATGGTTAATGTGTACCTACAAATCTCTCAATTCTCAATATACATGTGTACATACACTGTGAAATACACAGCCATTAAAAGGAATACTTTTTATACTTCCCCCAAATATGAAGCACTTTACTGTTTGATACATGGATGAACCTTTAAAACATGCTAAATGAAATAAGCCAGATAAAAAAGGACAAGTATTGTATAATTTCACTTATATGAACTAAACTTAGACAAATGCATTGAGGCAGAAACAGTACCAAAGGCTGAGGGGAAGGGAAGGAGAAGTTAATTGACAATGTTACAGGGCTTCTGTTTAGGGTGATGACATTTTGGAAATACAATAGTGGTTGCGTAACATCGTAAATAATGCCACTGAATTGCACAATTGTTTAGGAAAATTTGTTACATGTTTTACAATTAAAAATCCTAAGAACACTAAAAGAAAGTCATATTAGGTCGGTTGGTGCAAAAGTAATGTGCCATTACTTTTAATGGCAAAAACCGCAATTACTTTTGCACTAACCTAATAGTTATATCCTGAAGAGGCAGAAACTGATAGGTTTGTCTGTGTAGTTTTTCAGCTTGTATTATTACTACCACTAACAGCCTCTGTTGAACCCTTCATTACTATGTAAGCAGCCATATTTAATTCTCAGAACAATGTAATGAGGGAGAGCCTATGAAAAAACAAAGCCTATGAAACAGAGCCTATGAAAAAACATTAACCAAGGTCATCATCCACAAAAATACAAGTTCCAGCACTAACTCTGCTTTCTCTGTGATGCTTCTCCTGCCCATTCATACTTGTAGGGAATAGGAGTAGAGGCCAATTATGTCGCTTGAGAGTGCTCTTGGAACAGTGGCAAATTTTCTGTACGTGAAATTAGCTTCTCAACTTTTTTGTACGTACGGTACTGGTTCTTAACCTTGGCTACCATTGGAATTACCCGGGAAACATTAAAACACTCATCAGGTCCCACCCTCCAGGGATTCTGTATAACTCGGCTGGGTGTAGCCTAAGCATCAAAATGATTATGCGCAGCCAAGGTTGAAAGCCACCAACACTGACACATGGATTTAATATTAACCACTTGGAACAGAATACCACTGTTAAAATTGCCGTGGAAGGTTAAATAATGGGCAGCCCTTGCTATTCCAAGTTTGGTTTTTTTGTTTTTTGTTTTTGAGACCAAGTCTTGCTCTGTCACCCAGGCTGGAGTGCAGTGGCACAGTCTCAGCTCACTGCAACCTCTGCCTCCCGGGTTCCAGCTATTCTCCTGCCTCAGCCTCCTAGGTAGCTGGGACTACAGGCGTGTGCCACCATGCCCGGCTAATTTTGTATCCTTAGTAGAGACAGGGTGTCACCATGTTGGCCAGGGTGGTCTTGAACTCCTGACCTCGTGATCCACCCACCTCGGCCTCCCAAAGTGCTGGGATTACAGGCTTGAGCCACCGTGCCCGGCCTATTGTAAGTTTTAAACAACCTCAGACCAGGGAACTTCCTCACTTGGACATACACTTCATAGCAATTTCTTCTCTTAAAATAGTGGAAAATGAAGCTGTAAAAGCACAGTGAATGAGAACACTAGCAAGCTATGGCAATTTGAAAAAATGTGATTTTAAGAGTCAGTCTTGCACCTTTATCATTTAAATTTGGTTATCTCAGCATGAAACTTCTGAGACTGACAGCAAGAATTAAAACACCTTTTGTATATGCGGAAACTACCCTGTAGTCTACCTGCTCTCAAATTTGAGCACGCTTGCTGGGCCCCACCACCAATTTCTGATTCTGTAGGTCTGGGATAGGACCTTAGAATGTGTCTATCACGTGACACTTGTAAGAACCACTGTTCTAGCACAAGCCAAAAGAAGTGACAGCAAAGACTGACATCCAGAATCCTCTAATTCAGTTCTCTCTACTCATCTCACTACCTGTGCTCTGCTTAGGTGAATGTGTTTGCAGCATGTGGAGGAACAATCCATGTATTCTTTGTCCCTGCCCAAACCTAAAGATTGAGGAGGAACTGACAGCAATATTGAGAGTGAGGCAAGAGAGAAAAAAAACCTAGCTTCGGAGTCACATCTGGTTTTCAATGCGAGCTTCGTGCAAGTTGGACTGAGTTAGGTGCCTCACGTCTGGAAACCTGTTTCTTCATGTGCATTTGCGCACCCTCATTACATTGTTCTGAGAATTAAATATGGCTGCTTACATAGCAAGGAAGGGCTCAACAGAGGCCGTTAGTGGTAGTAATAATACATGCTGAAAAAAAACAACTGGTGAAGAAGATACTGAATTGTACCTGAGATTTATACCATTTGCTGTTAAAAAAAAAAAAAAAAAAAAAGCCATACTACTCCCAAATACCTCCGCGCAATGTTTTCCAGTCATTAATTCAACAGCAGAATAGGGGATAGGACAAATGTCCTTATGCTCATGGAATTAATTTTAACGCCAGGTAGTTTAGCTTCTATGTTAAGTGCTAGAGAGCAGCATCCGTTAAATCTGGTGGCTGCAGCAGAGCACTTCCCTAGGAACCGACTGCACACGCCCAATTCAGAAGGAAGTGAGCACTGATTCCCGGCAGCCAACTCCCGTTCGCGCAGCCGCTGCCACCGGCCCTTAAGACGATGTGACCGCCAATTTTGTAACAGTGACGTCACCCGACGTCTGCAGGCCCTGACAGTTGGCTCTAGCGGGTGCGCAGTCTCCCTACCCCCGGTAAGGGGCTCTACCGGCCCTGGACCCAAGATGGGACTCCTACCTCCGACCACCCGGAGCAGCGGCGCCCCAGATCCGGCCGTCCGCCCTGCGCGTGCGCGGCCCGACCCCGCCGCGGTCTGGCTGTAAGGGCGCTGGAGGGGAGCTGGGCTGCCCCAGCCTTCAATGCTGGAGGGACGGCCGCGTGGGGCTTCAGAAAGGCTAGGCGCCGAGGAGTGTAAGCAGCGTGTGCCCATTTAAAGACAAAATCAGTGTGTTTTTCAGGTTTGTACGAAATGAAGTTGTAGAAAGATTAACAAGGGTTACCTGGGAAAGGCAGATTTTCAACTTAGCGTTTACATGTTCACCCAGTGCATTATTTTATTTAAAAAGAAGAAAAATATATACTTAACGGCTCCTAATCCAGCTCTCTTTGCCTGGTCTCCCAAGACACCTATCATTTTGCCCAGCACATACCTTGCCGCTGTGCCACACTGGAGTCCCCGGTTAGGTTCCCTGTGCTTAGACCGCCCCCTAGTCCCTCCAGGAAGCCTTTCCCAACCCTTTCGCGTTAACTGCCCGCCTCATCATCACAAAGGTAACTTGAGCTTTTATCAGTTTTAATTACTCCTTTTAATTTGCTCTTCTTCCCTATGTTTAGGCAGAAACGAGTCTTTTTTTAACCATATTCATCACCTGGTGCCAGCAACAGAAGTGTTCCCTAAAAATTCCTAGAATAAACCAACACGTGCTGACTAGATTCTCCATCTTCATAAACGGTGATACAAACTATGCACATCATAACTACCAGCTTCATGAGGTCAAGACTAAATCAAAAATTCTCAAGGACTTTTCTAAAAATTTTTTTAGCATAAACTGTTTCCTCTAACTTAAACTTCTCTTAAGTGAACGTGTCTTTCCACTGGGATGACTGTCTACATGCTCAGGAATCCTGAATTCATGACTATGTTCAACTCCCACGACCATTTTTAAATCATCAAAATGGCAGCAAATGTCATTACCTGGACCAAAAAGCTGCAGGTTTTGTGGCAAATGGGAAATGTGTTATAGAATATGACTGGGAAAGAGGGATTTCTTAGTGCTGCCCAGAATTAATTCAGCAAACACTGAACATTACTACGTGCCACATATAGGATCATACTGCATTTCAGGTCACCATCAAAGGTAAATTACAAGGCTGGGCGCAGTGGCTCATGCCTGTAATCCCAGCACTTTGGGAGGCCAGGGCAGGCGGATCACCTGAGGTCAGGAGTTCAAGACCAGCCTGGCCAACATGGCAAAACCCCCGCTCTACTAAAAATACAAAAATTAGCCAGGCATGCTGGCATGCGCCTGTAGTCCCAGCTACTTGGGAGGCTAAGGCAGGAGAATCGCTTGAACCTGGGAAGTGGAAGTTGCAGTTAGCTGAGATGGCACCACTGCACTCCAGCCTGGGCAACAGAGCAAGACTCCATCTCAGAAAAATAAAATAAATTTTTTAAAAAGGTAAATTACAAGACTGCAAAACTTTTTAAAAAAACCTTCCCCACTAGTTTGTACCTAATAAATGCTAACATTTAAAAGGGGGCACAAAAGGCCTGCAGAAATAAGAACTCACGTTCTTGAAAGTACTGCCTAGCATGGTATCTTCCTCATCATCAGAGGTGCTCTATACATCTTCAGTTGAAACGTGAAACAGACATCCATATGCAAAATATTTTCAAGGGTTTTGTTGGCTTTTACATGTTTTTCTTTAGATAACTGGTAATGATGCACATTACAAAGGAGACTTTTCTAAATCTCAAGTCCTTTGCTAATTTTTCTTTGGAACAACAGCACATTTTCAATGCCAAACCTTCTCCTACAACATACAAAGGGGAGATGCCAAAACTCTGAATTCTTGTAACGGATCCTGCAACTAGTTCTATCCAGAAGATGGAGACAATATTCCCTGGAGTTGACTGAACATGTGAGAAGGCACAGCTCAGAAGGAGAGGAAGGCTGAGGGCAGTGAAATGAGAACCTATGCATCACCTGGCCTTTTTACATGTTAGTCTATCCTACTATCCCAGGAATTCACTTCTGCTGTACTTGAGATTCAGGGATAATAATGTGACTCCTCCTCCCACATTCTAAGTAAATATGTTAACTAGATGAGCATTTATGTACATTTTAGAACAAAGTCTCCAGAAAGGTATAAAGTTTATTAACATCTTTAAAAAAAAAAAAAAAAAAAAAGATGGGCCGGGCATGGTGGCTCACGCCTGTGATCCCAGCACTTTGGGAGGCCAAGGCGGGTGGATCCTTTGAGGTCAGGAGTTTGAGACCAGCCTGGCCAACATGGTGAAACCCCATCTCTACTAAAAATACAAAAAAATTAGCCAGGCATGGTGTCGCACACCTGTAGTCCCCAGCTACTCGGGAGGCTGAGGCAAGAGAATCGCTTGAACCTGGGAGGCGGAGGTTGCAGTGAACCAAGATCGTGCCGCTGCACTCCAGCCTGGGCAACAAGCAAAACTCCATCTCAAAAAAAAAAAAAAAGATGGAACAGAACACAGCTACTGAATATGATATAGTTCCTTATTTACAAGTTTTACTATGGGAGGGACATTTTCCTCAGCATTTCAAATAATCAGAGGAGTAGAATTTTTTTCTAGAAATATCAGTATTTCACTCTCCAGGTCGAAGATTAATGAAAACATTAAGTGACTGCACCAGTTAGAAGAAGATAAACTAATACCTTAAAAATATATAAAAAAAGAAAGGGTAGTTGCTACTTAAACATGAATTTTCACAAAATTATTCTGTGACTAATTCAGACAATCTATTTGCTTAGAAAAGCTGGCAAAAAAAAAAAAAAGCACATTACATGAATATGCTTCATTTAAGTACATGCTTTCGAGCTGATTTAAAAAGAAAAGTTGAATTATGGTTTCCAGAGCTTTAGGAGTCCATCTTCACTGTAGGTAGCAATCAGGTTCTGATGAGGGTGATGTGCAATACCAATCACATCCTTCTCGTGCACCTGGAACATGTAAAGCACAGGGTTAGGATGTACAGATCTGCAATAAATCACTCTGATGAGGCTTCCAGAGGTGGGTGGAAGGGAAAAAGAGATCTTGGGAGGCCACATATTCCAAATGGCATAGGAGAAAGATGGAGGAGGGTTTTCCAACTCACATCACATTGTGACATAATAATAAACTTTAGGCTGGGCGCAGTGGCTCATGTCTGCAATCCCAGTACTTTGGGAGGCAGAGGCGGGTGGATCACTTGAGGTCAGGAGTTCAAGACCAGCCTGGCCAACAGGGTGAAACCCCGTCTCCACTAAAGATACAAAAAATTAGCCAGGAGTGGTGGCATGTGCCTGTAGTCCCAGTTACTTGGGAGGCTGAGGCAGGAGAATCACTTGAAACCAGGAGGCAGAGGTTGTAGTGAGCCGAGATCACACCACTGCACTCCAGCCTGGGTGACAGAGTGAGACTCCCTCTCAAAATAAAATAAAATAAAATAAAAATAAACAAACTTATATAGTGTTAAGCCACCGAGATTTGGGGATCATCATAGCAGCTGACATTAATTTTACTTCTTGAATTTGACATGGAGCTAAATGTTTTAAAACAACATATTTTATACTGAGGGTCACATCGATAGCTCTGGAAAAGGCACATACTTCAGAGTTCAGAAAGACACAAGTCCTACCATATTTCTTTAGATGAACTTAGTAAGTAATACTCACTGTCAAAGTTCTCTCCAGTTTGCCAGTGACTGTACTGAAACAGTAGAGCACAAAGTCCTCCCCTACACAGTAGATCCATTCACCACGGGGAGAGAGGGCACAGCAAACAAAGTCCCCACCTTCTCTTTTACCAGAACTGAAGCTTCTGACAATCTAGATCACACCACACCCCAAGAAAAAAACATCAGGATTAGTAGCAGCTCAACCATGTGCAGCATTTTAAACTGACATTTTTACGTTGTTATTTTGCACTTTGGTTTACTATCATTTGTAATTAGATCTCCAGTCCTGTTCATCATGTGCTAACTCCCCTTGCCTGGGAAATATTCAATAGATAAGTAATCTAAACTAAGTGGCAGACAAAAATTTAGAATTCATACATCCCACGTCACCAATCATGCCCTAAAGAGACATATTACCCTTAAGCAAATTTCATTGCCATACAAAAAACAATTTTCTAAATCAATATACCAGTATTTCTCAAAGCTTTCTGGATGTCTGCTCTCCAGTTTCCTCTAACAGAATGAGAAGCTTTCCCCATACAGGATGACACTCAGTCTCTAAGACTTTGCTTGCTCTATTGATACATTAAAATCATCATAAACCAAGCTGAGAGAAACCAATCTGAAAAGGCGAACAGTTTACATACTATATGCTTCCATTTCTATACCATTTTCAAAATGACAAAATTATAATAATGGAAAACAGATCAGTGGTTGCCAAGGGTTAGGGCTTGGGATTAACCTGAAATTTAAAACATGATACCATTTACATTAGCAGCCCCAAAGTGAAAATACTTAGGTATAAATCTAACAAAATACATACAATATTTAAATGAGGAAAATTACAAAATTCTGATGAAGGATATCAAAGAACTACACAGAGATATTCTATGTTCATGAACAGGAAGACTCAATATGGTAAAGATGTCAGTTCTTCCCAACTTAATCTACAGATTTCATACAATCCCAATCAAAATCCCAGCAAATTATTTTGTGGATATTGACAACCCAATTCTAAAGCTTACGCAAAGAGGCAAAAGACCCAGAATAGCGAACTCAATGTTGAAAGAGAAGGACAAAGTTGGAGGGCTCACAATACCCAACTTCAAGATTTACTACTAATCTACAGTAATGAAGACAGTGTGGTATTGGATCAATGGAACAGGATACAAAGCCCAGAAATACACTCAACTGATTTTTGACAAAGTAGCAAAAGCAATATAATAGAGAAAAGATAGTGTTTTCAACAAGAGATGCCATAATTCGACACTTACATGCAAGAAAATGTATCTAGACACAATAAAATAAAGACCTTACAGTCTTCACAAAAATTAACTCAAAATGGATCACAGACCTAAATGTAAAACTCAAAACTGTATTTAAAACTCTTAGAGGATAACAAAAAAGAAAATCTAGATGATCTTGAGTTTGATGACTTTTTAGATACAACTCCTAAGACATGATCCATGAAATAACTGATAAGCTAGACTTCATTAAAATTAAAATTTTCTACTCTGTAAAAGCCACTGTCAAGAAAATGAGGCCAGATGCAGTGGCTCATGCCTGTAATCCCAGCACTCTGGGAGGCTAAGGTGGGAGGATCACTTGAGGCCAGGAGTTTGAGACCAGCCTCAGCAACATGGCATGACCCCATTTCCACACACACACACACACACACACAAAAGTCGGGCATGGTGGCACGTGCCTGTAGTCCCAGCCACTTAGAAGACTGAGGCTGGAAGATTTCTTGAGCCCAGGAGCTCAAGGATGCAGTGAGCTATGATCATGCCACTGCACTCCAGCCTGGGCAATGGAGCAAGACCCTGCCTCAAAAACAAAAAAGGAAGAAAATGAAAAGACAAGCCATGGACTGGGAGAAAATATCTGTAAAAACCAGATTTGATAAAGAACTATTATCCAAAATATACAAAAAACTCTTAAAACTCAACAGTAAGACAACAACCCCATTGAAAAATGAGTCAAATACCTGAAACAGAAACCTCACCAGAAGTATAGAGATGACAAATGAGCATATGAAAAGATTTCTACATGTGGAAATGCAAATTAAAATGAGATACCACTACACACCTATTATTTGAATGGCCAACATCCAGAACACTGACCACACTCAATGCTGGTGAGGATGTGGAGTAACAGGAACTCTCATTCACCAAGGGTGAGAATACAAAAGGATACATCCATTTTGGAACAGTTTGATAGTTTCTTACAACTAAACATACTTTACCATACAATCCAGTAATCACACTACTTAGCATTTACCCAAAGAAATAGAAAACATATTCACACAAAAATCTGCACATGGATGTTTATAGCAGCTTTACTCATAATTGCCAAAACTTGGAAGCAACCAAGATGTCCTTTGGTAGATGACTGGATAAATAAATGTTATTAAGCACTTAAAAAAAAAAAAAAAAAAAAGCCGGGTGTGGTGGCTCAGGCCTGTAATCCCAGCACTTTGGGAAGCTGAGGCGAGTGCATCACGAGGTCAGGAGTTCAAGACCAGCCTGGCCAAGATGGTGCAACCCTGTCTCTACTAAAAATACAAAAATTAGCAGGGTGCAGTGGGAGGCGCCTGTAATCCCAGCTACTCGGGAGGCTGAGGCAGGAGAATCGCTCGAACCCGGGGGCCGGAGGTTGCAGTGAGCTGAGATTGCGCCACTGCACTCCAGCCTGGGGGAGAAGGTGAGACTCCATCTCAAAAAAAAAAATAAGGCCGGGCGCGGTGGCTCACGCCTGTAATCCCAGCACTTTGGGAGGCCGAGGCGGGCGGATCACGAGGTCAGGAGATCGAGACCATCCTGGCTAACACGGTGAAACCCCGTCTCTACTAAAAATACAAAAAATTAGCCGGGCGTGGTGGCGGGCGCCTGTAGTCCCAGCTACTCGGGAGGCTGAGGCAGGAGAATGGCGTGAACCCAGGAGGCGGAGCTTGCAGTGAGCCGAGATCGCGCCACTGCACTCCAGCCTGGGCGACAGAGCGAGACTCTGTCTCAAAAAAAAAAAAAAATAAAAATAAAAATAAAAAATAAGCTATCAAACCATGAAAAAACAAGGAGAAAAATGCATCTTATTAAGAAGTCAAAATGAAAAAGTTACGTACTTTATGTTTCCAACTACATAACCTCCTAGAAAAGGCAAAACTATGGAGACAGAAAAAGATCAGTGGTTGCCGGAAGTTAGTGGGGAAGGAGGAAGAACAGAAAGGGCACAGAGAATTTCTGGGAAGTGAAACTACTCTGTACAATTCTCTAATGGTAGACACCTGCCATTATACATTTGTCCAAACCTACAGAACATACAACACCAAGAGTGAATCCTAATGTAAACTATGGCCTTTGTGTGTTAATGATGTACCAAATGCAGGTTCATCAGTTGTAACAAACGTACCACTCTGGCACGAGATACTGATAGTGTGGAAGGCTGTGCCCGTGGGAGGGACAGAAGAAATATGGGAACCGTCCGTATTTTCTGCTCAATTTTGCTGTGAACCTAAAACTACTCTTAAAAGTCTATTTTTTAAAAAACAACAAATTATGACAATGGAAAACTGATCAGTAGTTGCCAGGGGCTAGGGTTATGGGGAAGACGTGACTATAAAGATGTAGCATGAGAGTTTCTTTGGGAATAAAACCATTCTGTATCCTGGCCAGGCGCAGTGGCTCACGCCTGTAATCCCAGCACTTTCGGAGGCCGAGGCAGGTGGATCACCTGAGGTCAGGAGTTCGAGACCAGCCTGACCAACTTGGAGTGACCCCGTCTCTACTAGAAATCCCAGCTACTCGGGAGGCTGAGGCAGGAGAATCGCTTGAACCCGGCAGGCGGAGGTTACAGTGAGCCGAGATCACGCCATTGCACTTCAGCCTGGGCAACAAGAGCAAAACTCCATCTCAAAAAAAAAAAAAAAACAGTTCTGTATCCTGATTGTAATGGTGGTTACATGACTCTATACATGTAATGAAACTTTACAGAATGATTATATCCCTGCTTAAAAATAAATAAATAAATAAAAAGAATGCATGTAAAAACTGGTTATATCTAAATAAGATCTGTAATAGAGTTAATAACTGTACCAATGTCAATTTCCTAGTTCTGATCATTGTATTATCATTATATAAGATGTTATCATTGGAGGAATTTGAAGAGCGAAACACAGGAACTCTTCTGTACTATTTTTGCAACTCTATGTGAATCTAAAATTATTTTTTCAAAATAAAGTATTTTAAAAAGTCAAGCACAGAACTGTGAAGTGTGCTCAGCAGATGCACTGGGCAGCTGTAGCTATTATGCAGTGGCCCAAAAGATACTGCGGACCAGCCATCTCAGCTATGGATTCTCAACTACTACTCCATCAGTTACAGAACTCAAAGAATGGAAAGAGAGTACTACACACCAGCCCCTGGGTCTTCTCTATGGTCAGCAAGATCCCCAAGTGTCCAGGCCAATAATCCAATAGCACTACCATACATACCTAGGGCTTGGGTCCTCAAACTTGATGCTTCTGACACCCCCAGTGCTACTTCACAGTCCACAAAAGTGAGATTCCTTGAGAACCTTGCAGGTTTTCTGATTAAAAATACACCGAGGACACTGCTGCTGCCTTTCTCCTATTAGTGTTCCACTTTAGATCGTGGTAGCTGGGAGATGTCCTGAGTTGGTAATCCATACTACACTGTATCCCCCTAACTCAGACAAACACTGTTATCTTAAAATCTTCAGTGAGGTTCTGAAGGAGGCTTAAAGACAGATAGGAGCTTCCTTTATCCGAAGGATGAAAGTGCTTAATATACAAACATCCAGGGGAAAGGAGATCACTTTTGAAATACCAAACAGATGTTTTATGGAGCTATAAATAAATCTGAAAAACAAATACAGCTTAAACGGTTTACAGAGAAATGAACCCAAATTTGGTTATTGGGAGGGTGGGCCTGGACCAGGAAGTGCTGATTTGGGAATGGCCCACAGTTCCTGTGCAAGGGTACGTTCTGAACACTCACCTGCCCCTGCATGTTCATGATGACCACCGTGTTTGATCTGTTGCACACCACAAAGTGCTCAGGGTTTTTAGGAAGTAGAATCACACTGTTGACGGTAATATCTGTCCCTGCGGTGCTGCCCAGGGATTTAAAGGTATTTGAACATTCTGTGGTCTTCATATTCCAGATCTACCACACAGAAATTTAAGTTATAAACCTTTTTTAGGTATAAAAATTTCTAAAGTTTTAGGGTTTAAAATATTAACAGTTTACTAAAAAAGAATAGAAATGATTCAGGGGAAAAAAGTTTCTTACTTGATTTTAGGTCCAATCAAATACCCAGCACTGCCATATACAGTTTTCCTTCGGTATCTGTGAGGAATTGGTTCCAGGATCCCCTTTAGATACCAAAATCCAAGGATACTCAAGTCCCACACATAAAATGATGTATTTGCATATAACCTATGCACATCCTCCTGTATGCTTTAAATCATCTCTAGATTACTTATAATATCTAATACAATGCCCGCACACCACTTCCTTTGTAAGGATTCAATGTAGTACTTGGCATGGGGCAGATTTAAGTTTTGCTTTTTAGAATTTTGTGGAATTTTCTTTTTTTTCCCCAAATATTTTCAATTTGTGATTGGTTGAATCCATGTTCCGGATACAGAGGACCAACTGTAATAGAGTAAGCATTCATCATGTATTTGTTGATTTATTGGCAAAGCCAAAGTCACAAACTAAAACTTAAAAACTTTTAAAAATCTATGATCTTTTCTCATACATTTTTCCTTAGCCAATAGAGCTCTCTCTCTTTAAAATTAGTTGTTTGTCAACACTGCTACTGTCATAAACAACCAGAAAGCTACCCTTGTCTGGATATCAAAACCAAACAGGGGGTCGGCCATGGTGGCTCACGCCTGTAATGTCAGCACTTTGGGAAGCCAAGGCGGGTGGATCACTTGAGGCCAGGAGTTCAAGACCAGCCTGGGCAATATAGTGCGATCTTGTCTCTATGTAAAATAATTAAAATAAAATACAAACAAACAAAACAAAAACCGCTTTTCTTTTCTTTTTTTTTTTTTTTAAAGAGATGAGATCTCGCTATTTTGCCCTATTGCCTCTGCTGGCGTTAAACTCCTGAGTTCAAGCGATCCTCTCACTTCAGCCTTCTGAGTACGGGACTACAGGCAGGTGCCAATAAGCCTGGCTCAAATAGAGGCTTTTTAGCTTGAGACTCTATCCTGAGATTTTGATGTGGTAGGTCTAGGGTGAGGCATAGGCATTTTTTAAAAAGCTACAAATGATTCCAATGTACAGTTTATACTGACAATGACTGAACAGAAGTCACAATGTTAGCACACACACATGAGGAACTTTGAAGTGGAAGCTACTCTTGGCCACTTGCATTACTTTTCCCGGTCTATCTTTTCACCTTATCCTTCTGGGTTCTATGAACTGAAAGGGTTAAATCAGGTAGCACAGAAATCTGAGATGTGCTTAGAGAAGGGATGGATCAAACATTAAATAGCATTGTCCTGATACCACTCAATTCATCAGGTACAAAGTCTCTAAGGCATGGACTCTGCTGTGTTTCCTCTGTGCCTTCCATGGAGCTTAGCAGAAAGCAGATGTTGAATAAATACCCATAAACAGGAGAAAACAGTTGCCCTGGTGTCAACACTGTTATTGCCTGCCCTAATCTCCTCTGAAGCCCAGTTGCTTAGAAGAAAAAATGAACATTTCAGGAATTAAGAACGCTAAGGCTTCCAGTGTTTTCCATTCAAAAGGTCAGTGACACGCTTTGCCCCACTCACTGCAGAACTAAGGGGGAAAGACCACAAAATAAGGAACCTTAGATAAGCCATCTTCCAGTGGCATTTACAAGTTGTGAGGCCCATATGCATAGCATGAGAGCAAATCCCATGACTGAAGTACTAACAGCTCTGTGTGATTTCCCCATACATCCCAAGGGAGCATACATCTCCTGCCTTCGGGTTTCCAGTTCGATTTCCAATCATGAACAGCAATTTCAGACGGTGGTCTGACATATATACATATATATATATACATACATTTATTGATTGACTGAGACAGGTTCTTGCTCTGTTGCCCAGGCTGAAGTACAGTGGTGAGAAAATTGCTCAATGCAGCCTCAAACTCCTGGGTTCGAGTGATCCTTTCACCTCAGCCTCCCAAGTAGCTAGGAATACAGGTATACGCCACCACCCCTGGCTGTCTGAATTTTAGATACTTAAATATGTATCTAAAATATCTAGATATTTGTATTAAAATGTTTTATTAAAATGTCTAGATCTTCTGCCACAAAGTACTCACTCATATAAGACAATTCAAAAAGATTAGGTCCGGAATGTAAATAGTGTCTCAAAGATCTCTAATAATTTTCTATTTGGGTTTCTCATATCTTTTCTAGGAAATGAGAACCTCTCTTCAAATAACTAAATCTTTAAAGGTACTGAAGATCCATTACTTTCAGCAAATTACTTATTAAATAACTATCTAGGAGAAGGCTTAGTTTTACTCAACACCTCTCCTATTCCTCTATAAATGCTACTAGGAAGGCCCTAAATCTGGGGACCAGGAGTGCAGTGAGGCTGTGCAACAAAAAAGAGATCTATTTATTAGGCCACTGAGACTTTCGTGAATTTGACTGTTAGCAGGTGGACCATACCTATGGCAAAACAGATTTAACCACCATGTGTATCTGTGAATGGGGGATGGCTTAAGTTTAGGACTCTTCACCCTTCCTCTTTTCCTACACATGATAAAGTTTGTTTGGATTGAAAAGGTTTGAGATTGGGGTCCCAAGGCCAATGGGAATTACCCACAGAATACTGTTGTTGTCTCAGACTCACCTCAATTACAGCTAAAATAGCCAGGAAAGAGGTTTACTACAGCACAATCATTCCCATTATCACCACTGAAAACTCCTCAAAGGACAAAGATGGGGTAGACATCCCAAAATAAACTGATAGCAAATACTTAACCTTTACAGTGCCATCAGAGGATGCACTAATAATGTAATGTCCATCTTGTGTAAATGTTGCTTCGTTAACAAAGGAGGAATGGCCACGAAATTCCTTCAGGGTTTTCCCAGATTTTAAACCATGAATTCTACCAAATGAAAGTAAATGAAAAGAACAATAAATATTTAATATCTTATGGTTGTGACCAACGATTGAATGCATTTTAGATAAATTACAGAAGCTCATGTTATAATATTAAGTGAAGAGGGCTATGTGATTGTGTATACGGTGTAATTTTCACTATATCAAACAATCAAACAAAAGCTTTGCAAAGAAAGAGGCTGGAAGAAAATATGCCAGTAATACCACAAGCTTCTGTTCAGGGACAGACCTCTAAAAAACAAGTTAGCAGGAGATTGAGATCAGTGGGTCTCAGCTGGGTCCTTTAGAGTATAACAGACCCTCTAAAGTGATTATGATGCAGGTAGGTCCATAAGACCATACTCTGAGAAACATGAAGCACTGCTACCCCCTTTCAAATGTCTCTTCTGGGTAAAAACTCAAATGACACAACAACAAGTGTCAGTTGTACTTTGGGGACATAAGGTCTCACATACCTTCCCTCTCCATATCACATCATCATGGTAAAAGCATCATGGTAAAAGCGTAAGGAATCACTAGTACCTCCCTCCATGGCCTCATTATATCAAACTCAAGTGAGAGCAGTTTTGGGATTTTTACTTACCTAATTGTCTGGTCAAAAGAAGCACTAAGGATCTGACTGCTATCCTTAGAAAAGCTTAGACAGGTGACACCCTTACTGTGTGCCCTCTCAAATCTCCTTAAACATTGTCCACTCTGAATCTTCCACACCTTTATTTGAAAAAAAAAAAAGAATTAAAAAAACCTTGTTAAGTGTCCTACTATTAATAGCCCACAGAGCCAAGCAAGATGCAATGCTCACTAATGTACTGAAACAGCATTAAAAATGCACGCTAATAGCTGAATATGATGTCTAGTTCACATAGTACAATGGTAACTGAATCCTTTGAAACTTAAAACTCTTTCCTTGTAAATTATTAAAACAAAAATATAGACTCTAAGTTCACTTAGCAGAGACCATTTCTGCAATTTCTGTAGCCCAGGATGTATTTCTAGCATTAAATACAAACCACAACAAATTGGCTATTAGACCATCCCCTTAAAAAAAAAGTTAGTTATTTTGATTTTTATACAGCAAGCCAGGGTGGTACAATAGAAAGGGCATAAGCAGATATGAACTAAAGTCCCAGATCTATCACTTACCAAGTATGTGACCTTAAATATGTTATTGGATCACCCAGACAGAGTTGCTAAGATTACATAAGAAAAAGTAAAGTGATTAGCATAAAGCTGATGCTCAATAATCAGTAGCTATTATTATGCTGAATATCATATGTAGGACACTACCCCATAGCAGAACATTCAAAATGTCTACATATGAGAGGCTGTGGCACTAATCCATACCTTGATTTTTCCATCTTGGGCCCCAGTTGCTAACATTTCTGTATCTCTGCTGAAACACATGCAGAGGACAGCATCATCCATCATCATAAAGTTATCTTGGGCCTGGTACTTAAGATCCTAAAGAAACAATGGTTAGCAGTTATCAAAATAACACAAAGCCAAGACCCCAGTTCTCTACAAACTCACAAAAACCAGGGGCAATGGATTGTACCTACTCTAAACCCCCAAAGTAAACAGAAGTGCCGTGCATACACGTTCCTAGTAAGTAACTAGTTCCCAGTGATATTGCCGGGGATAAATAATTTTATACAATTCAAATTAGTATTATAAAAAATACCCACATACTACTCTAGATCTTTTCCTTACTGATTTTTTTCTAGGCAAAATTTCTCTAGTTTCATATTTTACATCTTTAATAAATCTGAATTTACCTATTTTTGTATGATGTGGGAAACTAAACTAATATTTTTTCCAAATGATCAGCTACCTTTCCTGAAACAGTTTACTGACTAATCTATTTATTTGTGATGCTTCTTTTATTATCCATTATTGTTCAAACAGATTACTTTTCTTATTTTTTTCTAATTATAAAGTGAGACTGCTTCCTGGTTTAAAAAATAAAAGCAAACTATAAAGAAACATATAAAGTAGAAAGTAAAAATCACTCATAAATCCACTACCCATAGAATGGAATTTGGTACTCTACGATAAAAATTACATTTTATTTATTTATTTTTGAGACAGAGTCTTGCTCTGTCGTCTAGGCTGCAGTGCAGTGATGCAATCTCAGCTCACTACAACCTCTGCCTCCTGGGTTCGAGCAATACTCCTGCATCAGGTTCCTAAGTAGCCGGGATTACAGGTCCGCACCAAAACACCCAGCTAATTTTTACATTTTTAGTAGAGACAAGGTTTCATCATGTTAGCCAGGCCGGCCTTGAACTCCTGACTTCAAGTGACCTATCAACTTCAGCCTCCCAAAGTGCTGGGATTACAGGTATGAGCCACTGCGCCCAGTAAAAAATTACATTTTAAATCAGTGGATAAAAGTTAGTAAATAGCTATATGGGGAAAAAACCAACTTGGATCTATACCAACTTTATCCCGCTAAACAAATTCTTGAAGGGTCAAAAATTAAACATAAAATAAAAGATTAAAGTACTAGAAGAAACTGTAGGAAAAAAGATGAATAAATTTGATGATATAAAAAAATTTCAAGTCTGTAAAACAAAACAAGCAAAATCAAGAGATAAAAGTCAAAATTTTAAAGTATTTGTAATGTATATTATAAAACTTCATTTCCTTAAAATATAAAGAGCTCCTACAAATCAATAAAGAACAATCCAACAGAAAAATGGGCAAAAGATATTAACAGACTTCATAGTGTAAGAAATATTAGTGACTTCGGTAAAATAAAAAAAAATTTGTGGCTTTTCACATAGAAAAAGATGTTTAACTTCATTTATAAGAGAAATAGAATTAGTACTACAATTAGGTTAGATTGGAAATGATCTTAAATAAAATGGGTGGTTAAATACATCATGGTTCAATCCATGCAATGTAATATAATACAGCAATAATCTCCAACATATGCTATAAAAAGCAAGAAGTATAACAGGGTATATAGTATGCTATCATCTGTATTACAAAATTTTGAAAAGGATACATAATAAGTAACACACACACAGGATATTCCAGTAAAGTTACATAAGAAACTGGTAATCCTGGCTGGCCCAAGGAAGGCAAATGACTAGCTGAGGTACAAGTGTAGGAGCAAAACACTACTTGAGTAACTTTTTGTTTTTTTGAACTTTGTATCAGTTGTACATATAACCCCTTGAAAAAAAAATTTGTTTTTTGCACGTCCCTGTAATCCCAGCTACTCTGGAGGCTGAGGCAGAAGAATCCCTTGAACCCGGGAGGCGGAGGTTGCAGTGAGCCGAGATCGTGCCCCTGCACTCCAGCCTGGGCCACAAGGGCGAAACTCTGTTTTGTTTTGTTTTGTTTTGTTTTGTTTTTTCCCCCGAGATGGAGTTTCGCTCTTGTTGCCCAGGCTGGAGTGCAGTGGCATGATCTCGGCTCACTGCAACCTCCACCTCCCACGTTCAAGCAATTTTCCTGCCTCAGTCTCCCGAGTAGCTGGGATTACAGGCACCCACCACCAGGCCCAGCTAATTTTTTTTAGTTTATTTTTAGTAGAGAAGGGGTTTCACCATGTTGGCCAGGCTTGTCTCAAACTCCTGACCTCAGGTGATCCACCCGCCTCAGCCTCCTAAAGTGCTGGGATTACAGGCCTGAGCCATCACGCCCAGCCTGAAAAAAAATTTTTTACTTGTAAAAATAATAGATAATAAAACAATTACAGATCATAAAGGTCCTCCCTTGGTTAATAAAATTGGAATTTAATTAAACATACCGTTTTTTGCTTTTTGTTTTTGAGACAGTGTTGCTGCCCAGGCTAGAATGCAGTAGCATAATCATGGCTCACTGCAACCTCAAACTCCTGGCTTGAGGGATCCTCCCACTTCAGCCTCCCAGGCAGCTAAAACTATAGGTGCACACAAGCATGCATGGTTAATTTAAAAAAAAATTTTTTTTGGTAGAGACGCGGTCTCACTATGCTGCCCCGGCTGGGTTGAACTCCTGGGTTCAACTAAGTGATCCTCCTGCCTCAGCCTCCTCAGTAGCTAGGACCACAGGTGTGCACCACTGTCCCTAGCTTTAAATGAGTTTTTTAATTACAAAAGTAATACATGTTCATTACATACAGATCCTTTTTCAACTAATCTGATTTAGAGGCCATAGGTAAGTAATTCAAAGCAGGTAATTTTTCCACTAGGAAGGTTAACACATTTAAAATACTTTACCTTTCTGATTTTTCCAGTAGTAAAGTTCCATACTTCAATGAATCCATCAACAGACCCAGTGACCAAATACTGACCATCTGGAGAAAATCGAGCACACTCCACATGTGATTTCTGACCAAACTGTTTCAAATGAAACAATGAAACAGATGCATTTTTATCTAGTGGACTTAAAACAATTCCTTTTTTAACCTTTTGAGAAACCCTGCCCTAGCATAAAGTCATAGCTGGCCCATATTATAGAGTATTGGAGGGGTATTTCTGTACCTGGACGCAGGGAGCTGGGTGGATGTATTTTTCTCTGACTTAGTTTTAAGTCCAGGCACTAAGTTGAAGCTAGTTTTTTGAATGTGAGATTGATATTTCCAAAGGAAAGGACAAAAGCTATTTTAACATGGGACTTAGAACAAGTAATCCTGTTAGCTCAGACTGTAATGTTTTGCTAGAATCAGCCACTGTTAGCGTGACTTTCACACTCAGTATGGCCTAATATGTTCCTGTTGTGTATCTCAGGGGGAAAAAACTCATTTTTTCAAACTAAATGTATGTTTCCCTATATTATTTTGTAAATAAACTTTCTATCAGTGTTTCACAACCTTCATTTAATGAAGTGATAATGTGTAGCTGACCAAACTTAGAAGAACTAATTAAAGCTAATATACTGTCTGATAAATGCATTCTGAGCATTTGCTAGTGAGGATGCTCCCAATAACAGATGAAAACTACAGAAAATTAGGTAGAAAGAACAAAGAAAAGCTCTAATGTGGATTTCACCTTAAATGCCAAAAAAGGAAAGTGTTTATAACAGAAAATCTTAGCCCAGCAGCATAATAATGATGGATTTCTATTTGTCTCAAGGTTTCAGGCAGAGTAAATAAAGGTGCTGCTTAAAAATATCTTTATCTGCAAGTTAGAATATAT
This sequence comes from Homo sapiens, assembly GCF_000001405.40. Taxonomy (NCBI): domain Eukaryota; kingdom Metazoa; phylum Chordata; class Mammalia; order Primates; family Hominidae; genus Homo; species Homo sapiens. The sequence goes on from NC_000009.12 coordinate 33,061,383, forward strand.
AATCCAGAAAAGGCAAACCCAAAATGTTAACCCAAAGTCAAAGATTTGAGGAATATGAAATATTTTAAAATCCAGGAATTTAGAGCACAAATCCAGAGAAACTGTAATATAGAGATGCTAAAGTAGCAAATACACTTGTAATTCTGGGAATTACCTAGAACACTTTTTCCTAGAAAACTCTCAGATTTAAAAAAATAAAAATAAATAAAAAATTTTAAAAAACCACACCATAGGAAGATAAAATCATTTTCCTCAAACATCACATAAGCCCACTTTGTAATCCCTCACTGGCACTCTGCCTGACACATAGCAGGCAAAATAAAAATGGTAAACAGAAGAAGTACATACAAAGTTCACAGTCCCAGGTGTAACCAAAAAAGAACTAACCATTCTTCCAAATGCAGGCTTCTTGGGAAGAAGTGCAAGGGCAGATGGTGGGCTAGATGTCAAGCTAGATGTCCATCCATTAGATGACACATCTGAGGTGTACCACTCCCAGGCCACAGCAGTATCCCAGTGGACACCTGCAGCAACCTTGAATATTGTCAGAGCTGGAGAATGAGTTCTCCCCCTCAATTATCCAAGCCCCTGGCACAGGGCCTGGCTGAGCCCATGACAAGTCCTCAACAAATGATTACTGACTGGCTGAATGTCTTAGGATCCTACCTTAATATGCCTGCTCAGTTGTGTAGGAAACTTTTCTTCTTCCACATCTTTGACAGCTGCCTTGCCTCGAAACAAATCTATGGTCATACCAGGAGGAAGCAATCCCTGATGCTGCTGCCACTTCAGTGCCTATGAGGAAAAAAAAAAATATAGCAATCTGTTCAGGTGCTTTTAAGATCTGGTCATAAGTGCTCAGAAACCAAGCCCGAAAGGATGAGGTTCAGAGAAAGCTGTGAGCCATCTAAACCCCAACTATTTTTGGCCATCCAAACATAAAGTAATCTGTGCTCCCCTGTGTGTCCAAGAACACAGGCTGATCTAAGGGTGAAGGGGACCTGAGAGCCAACAAGTCTATCATCCACCTATTTTCTTACAGGAGTGGCTCTTTTGTTATAAACAAAACTTGGAAAACAAAGATCTCCCATAGTTCTAACACTCAAACACACCCACTATTAACATTTTATATACTACCTTCCAATCTTCCCCCCCCACATATGTGTTTCATTAACCTAGTTGTAATTATACTATATGTAAAATTTTATTTTCTCCTGTTTTCACCTATCAACAGGTCATATTAGTCACAGCTATCATTTTAATGGCTGTAAAATATATCCCATCTAGTAGATGTCTCACAGTTAACATAATCAATATATTAGTGGACATTTACACTGCTTCCAATTTTTCAATCACCTAAATAATGCTGCAATGAACATCTTTGGACATAAAGCTTTTTCTATTTTGGGGATATTCCCCTCCTAGGGTATATTCCTGGAAAAGAAATTACCAAATCCAAAAAAGAACATGAATGGTTAAGGCTCTTGATATATTTGATATATACTGCCAAACTCCTTTCCAAAAGAGCTGCTTTCCAAAAAAAGTTGCAGTTGCACTAGTGTTCACAACTGCATTATGAGGGGTGAAATAATGAACTTTGGAGACAGATGGTCCTAGGCTAACTCATTCACCAGCTATGTCATTTTGACTCCCAGTTTTGCCAACTGAAAAAGTCGGGAAAAAAAGCCTAATTCGGGGGCCAAGCATGGTGGCTCACGCCTGTAATTCCAGCACTTTGGGAGGCCAAGGTGGGCAGATCACCTGAGGTCAGGAGTTCCAGGCCAGCCTGGTCAACATGGTGAAACCCCATCTCTACTAAAATTACAAAAATTAGCCAGGCGTGGTGGTGCATGCCTGTAATCCCAGCTACTTGGGAGACTGAGGCAGGAAAATTGCTTGAACCCGGGACGCAGAGGTTGCAGTGAGCCAAGATCGCACCACTGCACTCCCAGCCTGGGCAACAGAGTGAGACTGTCTCCAAAAAAAAAAGCCTAATTCATAGAGGATAAAACAAAATAATATAAGTGAAGCCTGTATAATAAGCACATGTTCACATAATAAGCACACAATCAATGTTTATTCCCCTTTCCTTTTGTTATTCCAAGAAAACTCAATAATTTTTGGTATCATTTAAAACGGGGGTCCCCAACCCCTGAACTGCAGACCAGTACTGGTCCACGGCCTGTTAGGAACCCAGCTGTACAGCAGGAGGTGAGTAGCCAGGGAGCAAGAGCATTACAGTCTGAGCTCCACCTCCTGTCAGATCTGCGCAGCATTAGATTCTCATAGGAGCATGAACCCTATTTTGAAATGCGCATGCGAGGGATCTAGGATGCATGCTCATTATGAGAATCTAATGCCTGATGATCTTAGATGGAAGAGTTTCATCCCAAACCCACCCCCCTGACACCCCCACCACCATCTGTGGAAAAATCGTCTTCCACGAAACCAGTCTTTGGTGCCAAAAATGTTGGGGACCACTGATTTAAAAATTTTAGCTAATTTAATAAGTAGAAATAGAATACCCTACTTTAGTCAGTTCTCTGATTAATGAGTTGAACTTTTCTCTGTATTCATTAGATATATTTCCTCTTCTGTTAACTGTTTATTCATGTTATTTGCTCACTTATCTATCATGGTCTTACCATTCTCACCAATTAGTGAGCTTTAACGTGATAAAGGTATTTGTTGTTTATGTTTGCTGCAAAGAATTCTTTTACCAACTTTTTTTTTTTAAAGAGAGGGGTTCTCATTCTGTCAGGCTGGAAAAGTGGCATGATCACAACTCACTGCAGCCTTGAACTCCTGGGCTCAAGCAGTCCTTCTGTCTCAGCCTTCCAAGTAGCTGTGACTATGTCTATTTTGGATTATAGCTTTATAGGTTTCTTTTCATCTTAAGTTCCGTTCTCGAGTGATGAAATCTGTTTACCTTTTCCTTGGTGTTTAATCTCTAAGTTTGGGAAGACTATCAGGTTTGATAGATTATATTATCTCCCAGTGTTTTTCTATTATCTTAAAATATCTAACTTTCTATCTGAAATTATGCTACATAAAATATGGGAGCAGGCTCTGATCTGACCTCTCCCCCGCAATTCTAAAGTCAGTGTCCCAACATCATATACTAAATGTATTTTTCTCTTATTCCTAGGTTTTGTGGTATTCCCCATTGTCATCCGTGGAATTATTATAAATAACAGAATTGGGTTTTTGCACTGTTGTTGCACTGGTTGCAACAGATGTTCTTGTGTCCACTACCAAAATGATGCAAATTATAGGTCTTTATTAAATGCAGTATTTCTAAGACTAGTATGCTCTCAACATTCTTCCTTTCCAAAGTTTCTTTGCTAAATATATTTTTTCTTTTTTTTTTTTTTAATTGAGACAGAGTCTCACTCTGTCACCCAGGCTGGAGTGCAGTGGCGCGATCTTGGCTCACTGCAAACTCTGCCTCCCGGGTTCAAGTGATTCTTCTGCCTCAGCCTCCCAAGTAACTGGGATTACAGGCGCACGCCATGATGGCCAGCTAATTTTTCTATTTTTAGTAGACACAAGGTTTCGCCACGTTGGCCAGGCTGGTCTCCAACTCCTGACCTCGGTTGATCCACCCACCTGGGCTTCCCAAAGTGCTGGGATTACAGATGTGAACCACCACACCCGGCCACATTTTACTTTTCTTCTTCTACATGCTTTCCCTAGGTAATTACATTTACAGCTTCAACTACTACTATAATTTCCAAATCTATAATTTTAGCCAAAACCTCTAGGTTAAGGTCCAGATTCACAGATCCAAGGGCCTATACTGCAAGTTTCCACTTGTATGTCCCACAGGAACTTCAAAACATCTAAAAACGGATCATTTCCCCTATCCCTAGTTTCTACCCCAGCCCCCAACAAATCTGTCCTTCTTATATTTTCTACCAAGTCACTCAAACCAGAAACTAAAGGGAAACGAAACCTAGAACCAAAACCTCACTTGCTCTTCACATCTAACCAATTAAATGTAGAACACATGAGTTTATTTCCACTGTCTCTAGAAAATCCACTGAAGTGATGGTAATTAAGGAATAAAAAAGATACATGCCCCAAAAGACAAAGAGAATGGGAGAACAGCAAGAAAAAAATGTTAGTTAAATTTTAGAAGGTGAAAAGTGAATGGACTAGTGGAAACCAAAAACAGAGAAAACCGAAACCTAATTGTACAAGGTGAAGAAGGGGAAGCCACAAGAAGCAAGCCAAACTACCTTGCAAAACTCCAAAAAGGCTTAGGAACTGGAGGAATCACATACCCTTCAAGCACAAGGCATGCTTCAGGGCTGAAAACAGGGGCAATATTAAAGTCTGCATAAGGAGCATTTAGCTACCACGACTTCTCCCAACCCTGAGCAACCACCTCGCCTTAGCCTCAAGAGAAATCAGGTGATGTATATTCTGGAAAGGTTGAGGTCCTAGGCTCTGAAAATCTCAGTAGAGCTGAGGACAGGGTGGAGGTGAGAAGCCACAATGAAAACTGGGGGCTTCAGTGTACACTGGTATGCTGAACAGTGAGATTTCTCTATCCTCCACTCCTACCTGCATCCTCTCAGCTCTCACTCTCAAGATATGGTTTAGGCAAGAACTACTCTCCAAGCAGGAACTACTCTCTGGAAAAGCTGACCAGCCCAAGAGAACATTTCTGCAGAGAATGACAAATGAGGATCCCCATCCTATCATCCCAGGCTGAAGTCTATCAGTTCTCAAACTCCTCTTTCCAACCACCCAACCTGACATACCATAGCAGAGAGCTCTAAATATTTGAGGAAAACTCCCACATATGGTCAGCAAAACAAACAGGGAAGGGGAAAACTCAGAGAAAAAGAAAAAATAGGAATACAGGGACAATGCAGGAAGGATAATAAAACTTTAAACATTTAAAGAGAAAGAAAGATACACGGTATTACAGACACAAATAAAATCTCAAAAATTTATTTCTATGCTTCCTTTCTCAGGAAGTTACTGGACTCAGTACTCCCACAAAATGAGGGTCTAGGCTGGGCTCAGCGGCTTACACCTGTAATCCCAGTACTTAGGAAGGCAGAGGCAGGATAGTCTGGGCAACACAGCAAGGCTCTGTGTTCCATTTAATTAAAAAAAAAAAAAAAAAAAAGGCTGGGTGCGGTGGCTCACGCCTGTAATCCCAAAACTTTGGGAGGCCGAGGTGGGCAGATCACGAGGTCAAGAGATCGAGACCATCCTGGCCAACATGGTGAAACCCCGTCTCTACTAAAAATACAAAAATTAGCTGGGCATGGTGGTGGGCACCTGTGGTCCCAGCTACTCGGGAGGCTGAGGCAGGAGAATTGCTCGAACCCAGAAGGCGGAGGTTGCAGTGAGCCAAGATCGTGCCACTGCACTCCAGCCTGGCGACAGAGTGAGACTCTGTCTCAAAAAAAAAAAGAAAACTGAGGAATCTATAAATAAGACCTACCAAAAAAATAAGAGACCCAAAATTCCCAGTATGAAGATGAGAGAAGTCCTGGTACAGTAACTGTGCAGCAATGCAAGAGAACTAGTCCTGATGGGAACAAAAAGAGAAGGGCCTCAGGAAAGATATCAGCAAGCGGAAAAAAAAGGACTTTTGACGGTTCTACTAGAAATACTCAGGCTGGACTAGCAGAAGTGCATAGAAAACTAGGCAAAAGAAAAAATAAGCAATAATTATTGCAAATCATAAAAATTTATGTAAGAAATTACATGTAATTATTTTTTAGCTGTGAACAATAGCTATATAAAAATAACTATGTAAACATTGAATATAGATTGAACCAAAAGTTGTGATACAGCTCTACTGAAAATCCAGAAGAAGAGTAAGTGTGTATTGAGGAGAGTGGGTATAAGACAAATCATTTTTCGCTGAAGAAAGTTAGTTGCTAATGACCAAAAAAAAAAAAAAAAAAAAAAAAAAATCAGGTAATAACAGTATAAACATGGTATTCAGCTATGGAGCTAAGTCAGGAAAGTTAAGAATCAGAGGTGGAGAAGGGAAGCACATGGGACTGTTTTTCACTGTAAGCCCTGAAGTACTACTTAAACGATGCACTGCTATTAGTTTGATTAAGAAATCAAAAAGCAGCTTACTTTTTTTTTTTTTTTTTTTGAGATGAAGTCTCGCTCTTGTCTCCCAGGCTGGAGTGCAATGGCTCAATCTCGGCTCACTGCAACCTCTGCCTCCTGGGTTCATGTGATTCTCCTGCCTCAGCCTCCCGAGTAGCTGAGATTACAGGTTCCTGCCACCACGCCCAGCTAATTTTTGTATTTTTAGTAGAGACGGGGTTTCACCATGTTGGCCAGGCTCATCTCGAGCCCCTGATCTCAGGTGATCCACCCACCTTGGCCTCCCAAAGTGCTGGGATTACAGGCATGGGCCACCACGCCAGGCCAAAAAGCAGCTTACTTTTGAATCTCAGAGTCACTGCAGGCCTGCAACAAATAGCTTTTTGGTCCTTTTCTAAATGCAGATTTAGTGCAAAAAGGTTATTAACATCCCTATTAATCACTTGTGCCCTTTGTTATTTATAATATATCTATTACTCTAAGTAGCTTTATAATAATGACCATGCTGGCAACACTATTAGTAATTTTTTAAAAAATCATCACCAGCAGCTACCATTTACTATTTACAAGGTGCCAGGAAATGTATAAAGTGTTTATGAACATTATTTCTCTTAATCCTTACTCTCAATACTGTGACGAGTAAATGGGACCAGAAAAGTTAAGTAATTTGCCAAGACTATATAGCTGGTAAATGAGAAAGCCTGGATTCTAACTAGGATGGGCATTTGTTCCAATCTTTCCAGGACAGTTACTATTTGCACTTGGTGTTCTGGCATAGGGATCAACTGTACTCTCAACGATATTCCAGACAGGATGATAAATTCTATGGTAACCCTAATTCTAACTGACTCCAGAGCTTGTTCTTAACCACTAATCTATATTGCCTCTCCCAGGAAAGAGGGAGAGTGGAACAGCACAGTTACTGGAATAAGCAACTCTGTAGGTAGTCCCCAATTCTTAGGGTGTACAATTTCTTCAGCTAAGACATAGTTTATACATAGGAAATTAGGAAATTGTACCAGGAGTTCACTTTTTAAATTTATTTTTATTTTTGGAGACAGGGTCTCACTCTGTTGCCCAAGCTGGAGTATAATGGCATGATCATAGCTGTCATCTCAATCTTCTGGGCTCCAGTGATTGTCCCACCTCAGCCTCCCAAGTAACTGAGACCACAGGCACACCCCACCATAACCCGCTAATTTTTTTACTTTTTGTAGAGACAGAGTCTCACAATGTTGCTTAGGCTGGTCTCCAACTACTAGGCTCAAGTGATTCTCCTGCCTCAGCCTCCCAAAGTGCAAGGATGACAGGTGTGAGCCACCACACCTGGCCTCTACAGGAATTGAATTACCTGTCCCAGCAATGCCATGAGACGAGATGGAGGCACCACACTGACTTCGCCAGCTAAGGCCTGGGCAATTGCTGCTCTTCTCTTTTCTTTGCTACTTCCATCTGGGTATGCCTGAAAAAGGAGAGGGTGTAGCATCATTTCCAAGAAGCAACAACAAGATATGAGTGTGCTTATTTAAAACAAACAAGCAGAAGCATACACAGAGGAAAATGTGAAAAGAAATTACCCAGTTAAAGAAGGGATTAGTTGAACTAATTTAGTTTTTGAAAATGACTTCCCAATTCTGCCCGCTTGCATTTCAAAAGTATGAGTTGGGAGAAAACTGAGGTCAGCCAATCCACACTATTATTATTTTTTCACTGAGTTCCTGGCCAAAGGACACACTGCTATTTTTCTGAAAAGAGTCCAAGTAAACCACATTAAACCCAGAGTTGTTCTTCCAGTTTTTGAAAAATTTGCAGAACCAAGAATTCTTTTATACTCTTTAGTAATTTCTTAAATGGCTCCCAGCACAGAAGTGCTTCACCACCTCTAAGTTAAATCCTGTCCTGGTAATCTAAAATCCTTTCCTTTATCCTCATAGATTTTGTAGGTTTACTCTAACATTCTATTATCCAGTGCCTATTAAGTTCTTCTTCCTCCTGAGAAAATACTTGCAAACTACCCATCTGACAAGGGATTAATAACCAGAATATGGCTGGGCAGGGTGGCTCACGCCTGTAATCCCAACATTTTCGGGGGCTGAGGCTGGCAGATCACCCGAGGTCAGGAGTTTGTGACCAGCCTGGCCAACATGGTGAAACTCTGTCGCTACTAAAAATAGAAAAACTAGCCAGGCCATAGTGGTGGGTGCCTGTAATCTCAGCTACTCGGGAGGCTGAGGCAGGAGAATTCCTGGAACCTGGGAGGTGGAGGTTGCAGTGAGCTAAGATCGTGCCATTGCACTCCAGCCGGGGAGACAACAGCAAGACTCTGTCTCAGAAAAATAAATAAACAAATAAATAAATAACCAGAATACAGGGCCAAGTGTGGTGGCTCATGCCTGTCATCCTAGCACTTTGGGAGGCCGAGGCGGGTGGACTGCTTGAGGCCAGGACTTCGAGACCAACCTGGCCAACATGGCGAAACCCCATCTCTACTGAAAACTCAAAAATTAGCTGAGTGTGGTGGCACACACCAGTAATCCCAGCTACTTGGTGGCTGAGGCACGAGAATTACTTGGACCCAGGAAGCGGAGGCTGCAGTGAGCCGAGATCACGCCACTGCACTCCAGCCTGGGTAACAGAGCTCTGTCTCAAAAACAACAACAACAACAACAACAAAACCCAGAATATATAAGGAGCTCAAACAACTCTACGGGAAAAAAATCTGATAATCCAATGTTAAAAATGGGTGAAAGATCTGAATAGACATTTCTCAAAAAAAGACACACACAAGGCAAACAGGTTTATTTAAAGGTGCTCAACACAACTGATCATTAGAGAAATGCAAATCAAACTACAATGAGATATCATCTCACTCCAGTTAAAATGGCTTTTATACAAAAAGACAGGAAATAACAAATGCTGGTGAGTAAGTGGAGAAAAAGGAACCCTCGTACACTATTAGTGGGAATGTAAATTAGTACAACCACTATGGAGAATAGTTTGGAGATTCCTCAAAAAATTAAACATGGAGGTACCATATGATCCAGCAATCCCACTGCTAGGTACACACCCAAAAGGAAATCAGTATATCAAAGAGATATCTGCACTCCCATGTTTATTACAGCAGTGTTCACAATAGGCAAGATTTGGAAGCAACGATAAGTGACCATTAACAGATAAATAAAGAAAATGAGGTACATGTACACAATGGTGTACTAGCTGGACATATAAAAGAATGAAATCCTGTCATTTGCAACAACATGCATGTAACTAGAGCTCATTATGGTAAGCGAAATAAGCCAGGCACAGAAAGACAGACTTTGCATGTTCTCATTTATTTGCAGGAACTAAAAATTAAAACATGGAGATAGAGAGTAGAAGGATGGTTGTCAGAGGCTGGGAAGGGTGGAGGTGGCGGGGGTAAGAAGGAAAGTGGGGATGGTTAATAGATACAAAAAATATAAAGAATAAATAAGAAATAGTATTTGATAGCACAACAGGGTGACTATAGCCAATAATAATTATACATTTTAAAATAACTGAAAGAATTGAATTGTTTGTAACACAAAGGATACATGCTTGAGGTGATGGATACTCCATTTACCCTCATTATGCACTGCATGCCTATATCAAAATATCTCATGTACCCCATAAATATATACACCTACTATGTACCCATAAAAAATTTTTTTTAATCCTTTTTCCTCCTATTTTGACAAACCTCTAGTAAAAGGCTGGGGGGGTGGGCAGGAAGAATGAAACCATACAGATAATAAGGTTTAGGAAGAATGAAACTATACAGATAATAACGTTTTGGAAGAATAAAAGACTATCATCATGCTCTACTGGTAAGCATAATCCGCGAAGAAACAAAAGCTTCTAGGGACTAAAAAGGCTAGAAGGAAACTACAATTGTTAGGGGCAAGACACACAAATGATCAGTGAACATACCAGCAGTCAGGCAGCACTTCGGGGAGGGCTAATGTGGAAATGACATCAGAATAAAATGTTCTGCTTTTTTTACTAACCAACACGCAATCCTCTAAACTGAGGTGTATAGAAGACTCAAATAATCAGAAAACTGAACAAAATTATTCTCTTTAACATACGCAAATTTCAGCCAACATATATAAACAGAGAAGCATCATTCTCAAAAATTAAATCAAAATCACAAAGAGTATACAATAAAATGGTAAAAAAAAAAAAAAAAGATCATGTTATTTCATTTCCAAAGTTAACAAAAAGTTCCTTTTCATTACCACAGTCATACCTCACGAGGATCAAAGTAAGACCTGGCCAAAAGGTTCTCCAGATGAATATATCGCTCTGGCTGTGTTTGTTTTAACATGATCATGGGATCAGTCTGTCTCAAAAGTGACCTGGCAGCACCCAATTCACGGAGCTCTATCAATTCCAGAACAACCTGGACAATTAAAAAAAAACAAAAAAAACCCCAGATGTTTCAACACACCGTCTTATTAATATTTTTCGGTAAAATATCTAACACAGATATGGCCTGTCAAAGGATTTCCAATACCAGGAAGTGCCCCTTTCCATTTTCACTAGCAATTTCAGGTGGACTTGGTGGGCTTGGTGGCTCATGCCTATAATCCTAACACTGTGGGAGGCCAAGATGGGCGGATCACTTGAGGTCAGCAGTTCGAAACCAGCCTGGCCAACGTGGTGAAACAGACTCTCTACTAAAAATACAAAAAAAATTAGCTGGGTGTGGTGGTATATGCCTGTAATTCCAGCTACTTGGGAGGCTGAGGCAGGAGAATTGCTTGAACCCGAGAGGCGGAGAGTGCAGTGAGCCAAGCTCATGCTACTGTACTCTGGCCTGGGCGACAGAGCGAGATCTGTCTCAATAAATAAATAAATAATAATTTCAATCCTTCAAACTCTATCCTTCATTTTTATCTACCAATCTCCCCTCCTCTCAGGCTTCTTGCTCAGAATGTAGATGCCAAAGAAAGCTAAAGATGGGAATATACCCATGGGCTCCAGAGAAACCTTTCTCCAGTTACCAAAATTTTCTTTGGGAATTATTGAACTCATACGGATTGTAAAGAAACAAACTGCCCAGACACGGCAGCTCACACCTGTAATCCCAGCATTTGGGAGGCTGAGGCAGGTGGATCACTTGAGGTCAGGAGTTGGAGACCAGCCTGGCCAATGTGGTGAAACCCCGTCTCTACTAAACACAAAACTTAGCTGGGCGTGGTGATGCACGCCTGTAATCCCAGCTACTCGGGAGGCTGAGGCAGGAGAATCGCTTGAACCCCGGAGATGGAGGTTGCAGTGAGCAGAGATCGCACCACTGCACTCCAGCCTGGGTAACACAGTGAGACTCTGTCTCAAAAAAAAAACAAAAAAAAAAACCCGTAAACAAAAACCAAAAACCAATTTCACTACTTTTACTTCAAATTACAATCTTATTTCCAGAAAGTCTACTCTGCTGTTTTATAATCACAAATTTGTCTGATCTTTGTCCTAGGTTCTTGGCTTGGAGCTTCTTGGAATTTGACCAGTGATAGGGGTATCTTTGTTACTCCTGGGCCCCTTGAATCACACCTGGGTTTGTGCAAAGGAAATGGCTCAGGATAGGTAGGAGCTAGTTATCAGAAAGACTAACTATGTGATTAGAAAGTTGAGGCTCTCTCGTGCCTGTAATCCCAGCCCTTTGGAAAGTCAAGGCTGGCGAACTGCTTGAGCCCAGGAGTTTGAGACCACCCTGGGTATTATGGTGAGATCCTGTCTCTACAGAAAAATGCAAAAATTAGGCAGGCGTGGTGGTGCGTGCCTGTGTTCCTAGCTACTCAGGAGGCTGAGGCAGGAGGAAGGATTGATCCTGGAAATGGAGGATGCAGCAAGCTGTGATCTTGCCACTGCACTCCAGAGTGGGTAACAGAACAAGATCCAGTCTCAAAAAAAGGAAAGAATTTTAATTTGGGAAATCCTGGATTTTCCAAGAAGGGAGAAAAAATACAATGTCAAGCCTTGCCATTGTTGTATGGGCTGATGCAGCCCTACCGTGCTTGAAGGAATGCTCACTGACGCTTTTTAGTTGGGGAGCTGGCCCACAACGAACCAACCCATGGGGATCAGCATCACCACCACTCTTACCTGTTCATAGAGGTCAATGAGGGTTTTGTCTGGCAATTTCAGAGACTGTATAGCCTGCAACACAGTATCCCAATGGCCACTGTTAATGTCAGCCACAAAACTCTCAATGCTGTCCACAGTATTCAGAGACACAGTAGTCTCCTCCTGCAAGGTGGCTAACGCCCGATGTAAACTGTTCTCCTTCAAGTACTGCATAATAAGGCGGATCACACTGAAAGAAAACAAATCGTTCAGCTCAGGGATTCTCACTCACCAGAGGTCAAAAATAAAGCCTATCAAGCTCCTACTCAATCATCTTCCTTTCACTACTATTTCTTTATCATGTGAGTAAAATTTTCCAAAATCACAGAATCTAAATTATAAGGGGACCCCCCCTAACCATAGAGACAGAACTGGGGTTCAAGGAAAGGAAATCATTTGCCTAATGTCTCAGTCAGCTAGAAAGGGAGTTGGTGTCAAGGTGACTATCTTATTTCCTAATCCAGAGCCTAGTTTCCTATTCATTCTTGTAATTATATTGTAGCACACTTCACTGAAATACTTTAAATGACTAGACTAGTTATTTATACAAAATAATCTAAATGAGGTTGGGCATGCTGGCTCATGACTGTAATCTCAGTAATTTGGGAGGCTGAGGCAGGAGGATTGGCTGGAAACCAGGAGGTTTGAGACCAGATCAGGCAGCTGTGAGACCCCATCTCTACAAATTTTTTTTTAAATTAGCCAAACATGGTGGCATGTGCCTGTAGTCCCAGCTACTTGGGATGTTGATGTGGGAGGATCCCTTGAGCCCATGAGTTCAAGACCAGCATGGGCAACATAAGAAGACCCCTTCTCTACACACACACACACACAAAAAAAAAAATTAGCTAGGCATGATAGTGTGTGCTTGTGGTCCCAGCTACCTGGGAAGCTGGGGTGGGAGGATTGCTTGTATCCATAAGGTTGAGGCTGCAGTGAGCCGTGATCATGCCACTGCACTCTAGCCTGGGAAAGAGAGCAAGACCTTGTCTCAAAAAAATAAATAAAATAAAACCTATGAGGTAAGTTTACTTTTATCCCCAATTTACAGATGAGGATTTGATCAGATAATAGAGATAATAAGTGGAAAAATCAGGACTCAAACTGGCAGTGTGGCTCTAGAGCATGTATTCCTGAGGAGAAAGCAAACATCCTCTTTTTTTTTTTTTTTTTTGAGAAATGGTCACTTGCATCGCTCAGGCTGGACAGAATAGTGGCGTGATTGTGGCTGACTGCAGCCTGGGCCTCCTGGGATCAGGTGATCCTCTCACCTCAGCCTCCCGAGTAGCTGAGACCACAGGCATGCACCACCACACTGGCTAATTGTTGTATTTTTTGTAGAGACGTGGTTTTGCCATGTTGACCATGCTGGTCTCAAACTTCTGGGCTCAAGTGATCCATCCACCTCAGCTTCCCAAAGTGTTGAGATGACAGGTGTGAGCCACCGCACCTGGCCCCTCTTCTTAAAAACAACTATAGGCCGGCCGCGGTGGCTCACGCCTGTAATCTCACCACTTTGGAAGGCCGAGGCGGGCAGATCACAAGGTCAGGAGATCGAGACCATCCTGGCTAACACGGTGAAACCCCGTCTCTACTAAAAATACAAAAAAATTAGCCGGGCATGGTGGTGGGCGCCTGTAGTCCCAGCTACTCGGGAGGCTGAGGCAGGAGAATGGCGTGAACGTGGGAGGCGGTGCTTGCAGTGAGCGGAGATCGCGCCACTGCATTCCAGCCTGGGTGACAGAGTGAGACTCCGTCTCAAAAAAAAAAAAGGGAACTGATTGCTGCTACCTGCAGTAGTCTTTTTCTCTCATGGCCCCTTTATGAGGTATGCAGGTATCCAGACTTAGACCCCTGTTATTCTGCTATGATACTATCTTCCTTAGCACATGTCCGTTGACTTCCATTTTACACTCCCAAAATAAGTCATCTCTCTCCTCAAACAGCTCACATTTGACATAGCCAAAATCAAATTCCCTACCTTCAAACAGAAATGAATACATAAAGAGCTAGAAGCTTTGAAGATAGTCTGGGATTTGAATCAAAGTTATGTGACCTTGGACAAGTAGGTTAACATCATTTCAGTATTTGCTGAATGCATAAACCTCCCTTCCTCCTATGAAAAGTCTCCAAAAAAGGTCCTCTCCCTCCCTTACACTCAGACACAATTTTTATGTCTGTTAATTTAATTATTATTAAGTGTTGGCAAGGACAGGTGGAGGATGGAGTTCTGGAAAAGCACACTAAGGTCTTCTTTAGTCACTAATTCTCATCCCCTATTCCTTGAAAATTTTTCTTTCTAGCCCAGTCTCCAGTCTGTCTCTCCCCAGACAACCCAAAATTCCGTGCCAGATCGGGCCTGATAGTTGTTCATTCATTCCAAAAGCTAGTTGTTCATTCATTCCAAAAGCAATTAACTCTTCCTCTAAGGTATGCTAGACACTGAGACCACAAGGAAAAGGAGCTCCTAGGCACCGACAAAGGCTAGTTTGGGGTGAGGTTATCAAACAGTGACAATACTGAGTGATAAACGCTAGGCAGAGAAAAGCAAAGGGGCCGTATAAGCAGAGACAACGAATCACATTGCATAAGCTGGACAGGGAGAGAAGCAAGGCTTAAAGAGACCTATCCCCTTGCGCAGATAATTAGACTGGAGTCCAGAGTGGATCCTTAATTTGGTCAATCACAGCGCGCCAGCAGTCGGCCAAGGACAGAACTTAGGTCTGCAAGGTGTGTTTTCCCCACCCGTGCCACCTCCCTCGAGGTTTTGGGCTTCACGTCTGAGAGCTGCTACTTTCCTGTGGGCCCACCTCCGAGGTAGCGAGATCCAAGATGCTTCTTTGGGGGCAAGGAAATGGCCCTCCACTCCCTGGCCTCTCGGATGCCTTCTCCCGAGTACCCTCCGCCCCACACCCTTAACCTCCAGGCCCCCGGCAAGGCGCGAACATCCCCACCGCAGGACTCACTCCGAAGATTCGATTTCGATCGACATAGCCGTATCTCTCCGGGAGCAGGCCCCAGCTCTCCCTCAAGGCCAGTCGCGCAACACACCAACGACACCTCCGGCGGACACCTAACGTCACTTCCGCTTGGGTCGGCGTCTGGCTCCCGCTCTGGAGATAGAGTGAACGAAGAGTAGGGGCGAGGTTCGCGTAGGGGCGGAGCCCTCAGGGGCTGTCAGAGGGCGGAGTTTATGCCCCTGCCCCAGAGAAATACGCATCAGGAGGAAGACTGTTTAAAAGCAGGCCGGAGCCGGGTGCGGTGGCTCACGCTTGTAATCCCAACACTTTGGAAGGCCGAGGCGGGCGATCACCTGAGGTCGTGAGTTCGAGACCAGCCTGACCAACATGGAGAAACCCCCGTCTCTACTAAAAATACAAAATTAGCCGGGCGTAGTGGCGCATGCCTGTAATCCCTACTCGGGAGCCTGAGGCAGGAGAATCGCTTGAACCCAGGAGGCGGAGGTTGCGGTGAGCCGAGATCGCGCCATTGCACCCCAGCATGGAAAACAAGAGCGCAACTCCGTCTCAAAAAAAAAAAAAAAAAAAAAAGAAAGATAGAAAAGAAAAAGAAAAAAAGCACCGGGCGCCATACAGCTCACAAATGTACTGAAAAAGAAAAGCGCTGGGGCGGAGCGCGGTGGCTCGCGCCTGTACTCCCAGCGCGCGAGTTCGAGACCAGCCTGGGCAACATGGTGAAGCCCCGTCTCTACTAAAAATACAAAAAATTAGCCGGGCGTGGTGGCGGGGGCGCCTGTAATCTCAGCTACTCGGGAGTCTGTGGCAGGAGAATCGTTTCACCTCTGGAGGTGGATGCGGTGAGCCGAGATCACACCATTGCACTCCAGCCTGGGCAAGGAGAGCAAAATTCCGTCTCAAAAGAAGAAAAGAAAAGTAGTGGTGATAAGATTGTAGTAAGAAAAGCAAAGAAAAGAAAGAAGAAAAGAAAGAAAAGAAAAGAAAGAAAAGAAAGAGCACTGGTTTGGAAAGATTGCTTTTTTTTTGAGACGGAATCTCGCACTGTCGCCCGGGCTGAAGAGCACAATGGCGCGATCTCGGCTCACTGCAAACTCTGCCTCCCGGGTTCAGGAGATTCTCTTGCCTCAGCCTCCGGAGTAGCTGGGATTACAGGTTTCTTGCCATCACGCCAGGCTAATTTTTTGTATTTTTAGTAGAGATGGGATTTCACTATGTTGGTCAGGCTGTTCTCGAACTCCTGACCTCGTGATCCGCCCGCCTCGGTCTCCCAAAGTGCTGGGATTACAGGCGTGAGTCACTGCGCCCAGCCAATGTTGCTTTCGTTTGATGTAATTAGTTGATTAGATTTAAGATGAGGCTGAATATGCAATACCTGATGGGATATTAATACATTCAAAACCAACATAACACTAGCCAAAATTTATAGGAAGAGTTAATTGAGGATTTTGGTTGGTTGGTTGGTTTTGCGTTTTTTTGAATCAAGGACTCGCTTTGTTGCCCATGCTGGAGTGCAGTGTCTCGATCGTGGCACACTGCAGCCTCGACCCCTCCAGCTCAAGCAATCCTCCCACCTCAGCCACCCAAAGTGCTGGGATTACTGGCATGAGCCACCACGCCCTGTCACGGGACTTTAGGTCAAACACATTATTACATTTGTAGTGACAAATGAAATGTAGAGATATCAGTGAACTTCATACATAAAACCTATTTTTAAATATTTTATTGCTGTTGTATATAAATTGTAAAAATTATTTGCAGCACAGTAATAATAAATCTGGCCAGGCGTGGTGGCTCACGCCTGTAATCTCAGCACTTTGGGAGGCTGAGGCGGGTGGATCACCTGAGTTCAGGAGTTGGAGACCAGCCTGGCCAACATGGTGAAACCCCGTCTCTACTAAAAATAAGAAAATTTGCCAGGCAGATAGGTGTGCATCTGTAATCCCAGCTACTCGGGAGACTGAGGCAGGAGAATCCCTTGAACCCGGGAGGCAGAGGTTGCAGTGAGGAGAGATCGAACCACTGCACTCCACCCTGGGTGACCGAGTGACCAAAAAATAATAAATAAATAAATAAATAAAATAAATCTGTGTTCCGAAATTACATATTGAAATGATGTATTTGTAGATTTCCTGATGGCTTTCAGTCTTATCTGATTCTGTGCCTAAAGGTCTGCCATACAACTTGTCCATAACCTCTTAAATACTGCTTCTTTTGTCAAATCATCCTCTATTTCCTATCAATTCTTGAAGGACATGGTCTCCAAGGTTTCAAATGTTTTAGAGTCTCCATGCTTGCCTTGACATGTAGTGAGATATCAACATGGGTTATATGGTTTATGAGATACTCCTTCACTATTCTATCCCATAACAGCACAAAATTATTATAACTTCTTCCTTGAAAAGAAGACCCAGCTCATCGCAACAATAGCATATGTCCTCATTTTCTCTACCTAGTACTTGTCATGTTACTCTTAAATTCAGGTTACTTCTCTATTTTGTTTATACAAATAAATCTTCTCTATGATTACTTAACACCAGGTTTTATTCTAATATCCACCACACCTCTGCTTTCATTTTGAATGGAATGGCTTCTCTTCTTATGACTCCTATTACATCCAAGCTTGTTCATTATTTATAGATGTGAGCATCTTATTGCTTCATTATGTCTTTTGTAGTAACACCCTAGGATTTTGATATTGAACTACATATTACTCTATTTTATAACAAATTAATTTATTTTTATTTTTCCTATATATTTAGCATTATATTGATTTTTTCATTATCTGCGTAAGTAGATTTTTCTTTCTTTTTTAAGACAGAGTCTCACTCTGTTGCCTAGGCTGGAGTGCAGTGGCACCATCTCAGCTCACTGCAACCTCTGCCTCCTGGGTTCCAGTGATTCTTCTGCCTCAGCTTCCCAAGTAGCTGTGATTACAGGCACGCACCACCATGCCCAGCAAATTTTTGTATTTTTAGTAGAGACGGGTTTCGCCATGTTGGCCAGGCTGGTCTCGAACACCTGACCTCAAGTGATCCGCCCGCCTTGGCCTCCCAATGTGTAAGTAGATTATATTACTTATGAATTTCAGAACACTAAAAGGGATGTTACAAGAGATTTGGAGGTCCTTGAGCCTAATAGTATTGAGAACATGTTAAAGAGATGCCTATTAGTCATTGCTCCAAAATAATAACTCCAATCCCTTAATACTTTTCTTACTCTCCTTTTTTAACCTTGGAAAGATCTTTTAGAAAATAATATATTTTGTGATAAAGAAACATTTACATAAGTTCAACAATTCTTTTGGTTTCACTTCAGTTTCCTTTTATTCAGTCAATTACAGGTACAATTAAATTGATTAATTTTTCTCTAAAAAATAGCACATATTGATTGGCCAGGTGTGGTGGCTCACACCTATAATCCCTGTACTTTGGGAAGCCAAGGTGGGAAAATTGCTTGAGACCAGGAGCTCAAGACAAGGCTGGACAACATAGCAAGAGACCCCTTCTTCACAGAAAAATTAGCCTGGCATGGTGGCACACGCCCGTAGTTCCAGCAACTTGGGAGGCTGAGGCGGGAGGATTGGCTTGAGCCCAGGAGTTTGAGGCTGCAGTGAGCCATGATCGCACCACTGCGCTCCAGCCTGGGAGACAAAGTGAGACCCTGTCTCTAAAGAAAATAATAATAATAATAAAATTAAAATAGGCTAGGCATGGTGGCTCACGCCTGTAATCCCAGCACTTTGGGAGGCCAAGGTGGGTGGATCATCTGAGGTCAGGAGTTCGAGACCAGCCTGGCCAACATAGTGAAACCCCCCCATCTCTACCAAAAATACAAAAATTAGCTGGGCATGGTGGCACATGCCTGTAATCCCAGCTACTCAGGAGGCTAAGGGAAGAGATTCGCTTGAGCCCGGAAGGCGGAGGTTGGCCTGAGACGAGATTGCACCATTGCACTTTAGCCTGGGTGACACAGTGAGACTCCGTCTCAAAAAATAAAAATAAAAATAAAAAAGAAAGAAAGAAAACGTGGGGCAGTGGAGGGTGGGGAGTGTAAACTATACTCTGTCTGCATCACATGCTGCTTGACATAATCCCTGGTGCCAAGTAGCCTGTTTCAAGTCAGAACTTGTTATTTGCTGCTGTGCCCGTGGTTTATGCATTCACGTCAATGTGATCATGGGCACCATTCTTGAGAAATGAAACTTTATCATGACTAGCAAGCAGCCACAGAGGTATACCTATCCTTTGCTTCTTCGATATATTGGATTTTTAACCCCTGATTGACAGTCGATGCTGCTGGCATTGCAAACCCTCCTCATTCATGTTTATTCTGTAATAAAAAAGTGGAATATGATGTTTTTGTTACCATGTATAAGAAATTACAATCTTTACCTAGTTGGGGAGGATTTTTTTCCTTCCTGAACTGGTTGCTTATGTAAGTATTCTGTATTCCAACAATCCATCCATTTCCATGCTTTTCCCATACCCAAAAGTATAGCTTTTGTCACCTTGCTGATCTCTTGTTCACAAGTTGATAAATTTTGCCAATTCCTAAAGATCAATTTGTATAGAAATTTTGTTTTTAACACTAGACAAATGAGGTCTCTCACATCTCTCCATCCATATATAAATAAAGAAACAAGCAGGCACACACACAGACAACTTCTAAACTCTAAACCAGGCAGTTGTATTCACCAAGAATCTTTCCACCGCATACTCACAGGCTGGATCACAACCTCCTAGACCAAATTTCTAGTGAACAAAAGTAACCCCGAGGGAAATCCGGTCTCCTGATCCGCCCTGCTTTCCGGTAAATGGGCCCCCTCCCATAAGTCCATGTATCAGCAATCTATCTCTTGAATCCAGCAGAGGGCAGGACAGTCACAGAAAAACTACCATTGTAAACCTAGCCTCCAAATGTCTAACTGGTTAAGGAAAAGAGGTGGAGGGGAGAGAGATTCTTGGTCCTGCGGATAAAGGAAGTACTGTAGAAGGGAAAGTCAATATTTGAGTGCCAAAATGGGGCAAAAGGTTCGTTTTATTTTCTATTAAACTAGACCAGTTTCTTCTAACAGGATATAATAAGGCAAAGCAGAGAAAAAAATCACATAATTCTATGTGCTTTTTGCAGAACATGAATTTTAAGTTATGAGAGTTAAATGAGTTAATTCATACAAAACACAACAGTGCCTGGCATGTAGCGAGCACTAAGTAAGAGTTTGTTGTTATTGTTGTTGTTGTTGTCGTTGTTGTTGTTGTAGAGATAGCGTCTTGCTATGTTGCCCAGGCTGGTCTTGAACTTCTGGCCTCAAGCCATTCTCCCTCCTCGGCTTCCCAAAGTGTTGGGATTGCAGGTGTGAGCCATCATACCTGGCCTATTATTATATATTAAGATGTCAAAGCCCTTCTATTATTTATGCTTCTTACCACAATAAGAAAATAAATACTATAAGTCAAAATAAAGTCTAAAACTGGTCTGTTTTGGAGTGAGGAACTCCTCTCTTTAGTGTGATACTGCTGTCACAGATGGGCTTGTACCCTGCTCATGCTCCACCAGCTGGAAGCTGGCTGGTCTCCAGTAGTCCACTTTGTCTGGACCCCTGAAATCCCTGTCCATGTCTCATTGGCCAGTTCAGCCTCCGTGATGCAAAGCTGCTACGGTGTGTGTAGCCAGCATCTCCTTTATTTACACAGAAAGGGTTCCTCCCTCAAGGCTGGCGCTCAAATGGGGACCTGTTTCCCACACCACGACTTGTTAGCATTTGTGGTTCCAGAGGCTTCCCTTAGCACACCTTTGATCTGGGATCTGTACAAACAGAATACACAGGGCCAGGCCGCAAGAGTGCCAGCAGCTACCTGCACTTTCCCCACAGGGAAAGTGCTTTCCCACTGTTGTCCTTTTTCTAAAATAGCATCTCTCATCTCCCTACTCAGACTGCTTTTCTACTTTCCAGGGACTCTAGGGCACAGAATAAGTCTTAAATTTGTATGCCTGGGATGCTTGATCTTTCACAAGACAGAGGGGAGGGTTCCAGCCTCGTTCCCCATTTTATCCCTACCCTTGGAGCCGTCTGGGATCCTCCATTCTCTAATTGCAATGAACAGTTTTGGGGGTGTCTGGCAAGCTCACAGTTCCCCTTTCTTTCTTCCTTCCTATCATGTATAGTGAGAAGAGAAGTACTTTGATAAAATGTGGCTTTCGGCGACCCCACCCTGTGGTCACTAAAGATACACACACAGGAACAGGTAAGAAATACACATATAGGCATGTGCACATACACAGGTAAGACATGCATATACAGAAACACATAAAATAATGTGGCAGACATGGAAACTTTGACGCACACAAAGACACACACCCCCACAATCCTGTGGCTTAAGGAAGTAAGATTTTCCCCCGGGTATTGTTTTTCTTGTTGACTCTGGTCACTGTGGTGCCCACGTGGCACATCCACAGTTCTTAGAAAAAGGACAGAAGCACAAAGCCTCTACCAAGTTAGAAACAAAGGCCCTGGCACAGCCCAGCCCTGGCTCACCAGTCCAGGATGCCTGTCCTACCTTCATCTCCTGGAACTGTAGTTCTGGCTCAAATGGTGCCCCAGGGGATCTCAGCCAAGGAAAACAGAGGCTGCCCAGGCACTGAGTGCCACTGGGCCAGCTGGCCCAGACCAAACATTCAAGCTCTGATGCTCAGAGCCCCCACCGTCTGCAACCCAAGCATCTCTTTCCCACACAGGCCAGCCTTACCTCATGTAGCAGCCTGCTGCGGAGGCGAAACCAAGGGTGAGGAGGGTGAGGTTGGAGAGATAGGTTAGAAAATGGGGTTGGGCATCATTCTGAGCAAACTATCGCAAGGACAGAAAACCAAACACCGTATGTTCTCACTCATAGGTGGGAATTGAACAATGAGAACACTTGGACATGAGGTGGGGAACATCACACACCAGGGCCTGTCGTGGGGTGAGGGGAGGGGAGAGGGATAGCATTAGGAGAAATACCTAATGTAAATGATGAGTTAATGGGTGCAGCACACCAACATGGCACATGTATACATATGTAACAAACCTGCACGTTGTGCACGTGTACCCTAGAACTTAAAGTATAATAATAATTAAAAGAAAAAGAAAATGGGGTTGGGGAGCAAGAGGTATGACTAAGTAGGGGGGTGACATGTTTAAATTTCCACGTTTGAGTGCCCAACACATGGAACAGTGCCTGACACACAATAAATGTGAATGGCTCTGGTAGCTTCATGAAAAGGGGGCTGGAAACTGATGGTCCTGATGGCAGGAAGCTCAGTCAGGAGCATCCGATCATGTGAGAGTTGGGTGGGGGCTTGCTCTGGGGCTGAGGATGAGGTAGGAGTGAAAAGAGAAAGAAATGGAAGTGACTGTGGATGTGATAAGAAAGGCTGTTTAGGCCAGGCGTGGTGGTTCACGCTTATAACCCCAGCACTTAGGGTGGCTGAGGCGGGTGGATCACATGAGGTCAGGAGTTCGAGACCAGCCTAGCCAACATGGTGAAACCCCATCTCTACTAATAATACAAAAATCAGCCGGGTGTGGTGGCAGGCGCTTGTAATCCCAACTACTCGGGAGGCTGAGGCAGGAGAATTGCTTGAACCTGGGAGGCAGAGGTTGCAGCAAACCAAGATCATGCCACTGCAGTCCAGCCTGGGCGATGGTGAATAAAAAAAGCTGATTAGAGCTGAGACCCTGGGCTCTGACTCATGCTAATTAAAACAGTAGTAAGGCAGACATAGAAAGCCAGCTTGTTAATTTACTGTGAGAAACATACCTGTCATGAGGATGGGAAATACATGCATCAGCATAGGCGTTCCCATCAGCATACAAACATGATCTGGTCTCTCTCACTCTTAAAATTCTTCCTTGACCTATATCATTTCTCTTCATACTCCACCTCATTTCTTTGCTTTCCTTCATAGCCAAACTTCTAGAAAGAGTTGCCCCCAAAATGCTGTTTGTACTCCCTCAATCTGTTCACGCCCACCCTATTCCAATCTGACTTTCATCTCTACTATTCCCTGAGGTCTTCTCATGTCAAAGTCACTGATGATTTTCCTGTTGCCAAATCCAAGAGGCTTACCTAGTTCTTCATCTAGAGGAAATGGAGACTCAGCAGGTTAAACAGAGTTTCACTTCTTGCAATTTGGTCCAGCCCCCTCATGAGGACAACTGGAAAATAAGAAACAAATCTGCTTATAGGCATAGAAGAGATAATAAATTGGTGTTTGGGACTACTTTTTACCTGGAGGGAATTTGTCCATGCTCGAATGAATGACCAGAGGAAGATGGCTTTTTTAAACAGGAGGACAGTTATTGAAGTTTAGGGCTAGCCAAAATAAGAAGCCCTGGGCTGGGCATGGTGGCTTACCCCTGTAATCCCAGCACTTTGGGAGGCCAAGGCGGGTGGATCACAAGGTCAGGAGATTGAGACCATCCTGGCTAACACGGTGAAACCCCGTCTCTACTAAAAATACAAAAAATTAGCCGGGCGTGGTGTGGGTGCCTGTAGTCCCAGCTACTCGGGAGGCTGAGGCAGGAGAATGGCATGAACCCAGGAGGCAGAGCTTGCAGTGAGCCAAGATCACGCCACTGCACTCCAGCCTGGGCTACAAAGTGAGACTCCATCTCAAAAAAATAAAAAACAAAAATTAGCCGGTGTCGTAGCAGGCACCTGTAATCCCAGCTACTCAGGAGGCTGAGGCAGGAGAATCACTTGAACCTGGGAGGTGGAGATTGCAGTGAGCCGAGATTGCACTGTTGCACTCCAGGCTGGGCTATAAGAGCAAAACTCCGTCTCAAAAAAAAAAAAAAAAAAAAAAAAGGGCTCCTGGTTCCAAGATGGCCTAATAGGAACAGCTCCAGTCTACAGCTCCCAGCGTTAGTGACGCAGAAGACGGTGATTTCTGCATTTCCAACTGAGGTACCAGGTTCATCTCACTGGGGCTTGTTGGACAGTGGGTGCAGTCCACAGAGTGTGAGCCAAAGCAAGGTGGGGTGTTGTCTCACCCAGGAAGCACAAGGGGTCAGGGAATTCCCTTTCCTAGCCAAGGGAAGCCGTGACAGATGGTACCTGGAAAATCGGGACACTCCCACCCTAATACTATACTTTTCCAATGGCCTTAGTAAATGGCACACCAGGAGATTATATCCCGCGCGTGGCTCGGGGGGGTCCCAGGCCCACAGAGCCTCACTCACTGCTAGCACAGCAGTCTGAGATCAAACTGCAAGGCAGCAGTGAGGCTGGGGGAGGGGCATCTGCCATTGCTGAGGCTTGACTAGGTAAACAAAGCAGCTGGGAAGTTCGAACTGGGTGGAGCCCACCGCAGCTCAAGGAGGCCTGCCTGCCTCTGTAGACTCCACCTCTGGGAGCAGGGCATAGCTGAACAAAAGGCAGGAGAAACTTCTGCAGACTTAAACGTCCCTGTCTGACAGCTTTGAAGAGAGTAGTGGTTCTCCCAGCACAGAGTTTGAGATCTAAGAACGGACAGACTGCCTCCTCAAGTGGGTCTGTGACCCCCGAGTAGCCTAACTGGGAGATACCTCCAAGTAGGGGCAGACTGACACGTCGTACAGCCGGGTGCCCCTCTGAGACGAACCTTCCAGAGGAAGGATTAGGCAGCAACATTTGCCGTTCTGCAATATTTGCTGTTCTGCAGCCTCTGCTAGTGATACCCAGGCAAACAGGGTCTGGAGTGGACCTCCAGCAAACTCCAACAGACCTGCAGCTGAGGGTCCTGACTATTAGAAGGAAAACTAACAAACAGAAAGGACATTCACACCAAAACCCCATCTGTACATCACCACCATCAAAGACCAAAGGTAGATAAAACCACAAAGATGGGGAGAAACCAGAGCAGAAAAGCTGAAAATTCTAAAAATCAGAGCACATCTTCTCCTCCAAAGTAACACAGCTCCTCACCAGCAACGGAACAAAGCTGGACGGGGAATGACTTTGATGAGTTGAGAGAAGAAGGCTTCAGACAATCGGTAATAACAAACTTCTCTGAGCTAAAGGAGGAAGTTCAAACTCATCACAAAGGAGCTAAAAACCTTGAAGAAAGATTAGATGAATGGCTAACTAGAATAAACAGTGCAAAGAAGACCTTAAATGACCTGATGGACTGAAAACCATGGCACAAGAACTACGTGACGCATGCACAAGCTTCAGTAGCCGATTCGATCAACTGGAAGAAAGGGTATCAGTGACTGAAGATCAAATGAATGAAATGAAGCAAGAAGAGAAGTTTAGAGAAAAAAGAGTAAAAAGAAACAAAGCCTCCAAGAAATATGGGACTATGTGAAAAGACCAAATCTATGTCTGATTGGTGTACCTGAAAGTGACGGGGAGAATGGAACCAAGCTGGAAAACACTCTGCAGGATATTATCCAGGAGAAATTCCCCAACCTAGCAAGGCAGGCCAACATTCAAATTCAGGAAATACAGAGAACGCCACAAAGATACTCCTCGAGAAGAGCAACTCCAAGACACCTAATTGTCAGATTCACCAAAGTTGAAATGAAGGAAAAAATATTAAGGGCAGCCGGAGAGAAAGGTCGGGTTACCCACAAAGGGAAGCCCATCAGACTAACAGTGGATCTCTTGGCAGATATTCTAAAAGCCAGAAGAGAGTGGGGGCCAATATTCAACATTCTTAAAGAGAAGAATTTTCAGCCCAGAATTTCATATCCAGCCAAACTAAGCTTCATAAATGAAGGAGAAATAAAATCCTTTACAGACAAGCAAATGCTGAGAGATTTTTGTCACCACCAGGCCTGCCCTAAAAGAGCTCCTGAAGGAAGCACTAAACATGCAAAGGAACAACCAGTACCAGCCACTGCAAAAACATGCCAAATTGTAAAGATCATCGATGCTAGGAAGAAACTGCATCAACTAACGAGCAAAATAACCAGCTAACATCATAATGGCAGGATCAAATTCACACATAACAATATTAACTTTTAATGTAAATGGACTAAATGTTCCAATTAAAAGACACAGACTGGCAAATTGGATAAAGAGTCAAGACCCATCAGTGTACTGTATTGAGGAGACCTATCTCATGTGCAGAGACACACATAGGCTCAAAATAAAGGGATGGAGGAAGATCTACCAAGCAAATGGAAAACAAAAAAAAAAGCATGGGTTGCAATCCTAGTCTCTGATAAAATGGACTTTAGACCAACAAAGATCAAAAGAGAAAAAGAAGGCCATTACATAATGGTAAAGGGATCAATTCAACAAGAAGAGCTAACTATCCTAAATATATATGCACCCAATACAGGAGCACCCAGATTCATAAAGCAAGTCCTTAGAGACCTACAAAGAGACTTAGACTCCCACACAATAATAATGGGAGACTTTAACACCCCACTGTCAACATTAGACAGATCAACGAGACAGAAAGTTAACAAGGATATCCAGGAATTGAATTCAGCTCTGCACCAAGCGGACCTAATAGACATCTACAGAACTCTCCACCCCAAATCAACAGAATATACATTCTTCTCAGCACCACATTGCACTTATTCCAAAAGTGACCACATAGTTGGAAGTAAAGCACTCCTCAGCAAATGTAAAAGGACAGAAATCACAACAAACTGTCTCTCAGACCACAGTGCAATCAAACCAGAACTCAGGATTAAGAAACTCACTCAAAACCACTCAACTACATGGAAACTGAACAACCTGCTCCTGAATGACTACTGGGTACATAACAAAATGAAGGCAGAAATAAAGATGTTCTTTGAAACCAATGAGAACAAAGACCCAACATACCAGAATCTCCGGGACACATTTAAAGCAGTGTGTAGAGGGAAATTTATAGCACTAAATGCCCACAAGAGAAAGCAGGAAAGATCTAAAATTGACACCCTAACATCACAATTCAAAGAACTAGAGAAGCAAGAGCAAACACATTCAAAAGCTAGCAGAAGGCAAGAAATAACTAAGATCAGAGCAGAACTGAAGGAGATAGAGACACAAAAAACCCTTCAAAAAATCAATGAATAGAGGAGGTGGTTTTTTGAAAAGATCAACAAAATTTATAGACCGCTAGCAAGACTAATAAAGAAAAGAGAGAAGAATCAAATAGATGCAGTAAAAAATGATAAAGGGGATATCACCACCGATCCCACAGAAATACAAACTACCATCAGAGAATACTATAAACACCTCTATGCAAATAAACTAGAAAATCTAGAAGAAATGGACAAATTCCTGGACACATACACCCTCCCAAGACTAAACCAGGAAGAAGTTGAATCCCTGAATAGACCAATAACAGGCTCTGAAATTGAGGCAATAATTAATAGCTTACCAACCAAAAAAAGTCCAGGACCAGACAGATTCACAGCCGAATTCTACCAGAGGTACAAAGAGGAGCTGGTACCACTCCTTCTGAAACTATTCCGATCAACAGAAAAAGAGGGAATCCTCCCTAACTCATTTTATGAGGCCAGCATCATCCTGATACAAAAGCCTTGCAGAGACACAACAAAAAAAGAGAATTTTAGACCAATATCTCTGATGAACATCAATGCGAAAATCCTCAATAAAATACTGGCAAACTGAATCCACCAGCACATCAAAATGTTATCCACTACGATCAAGTGGGCTTCATCCCTGGGATACAAGGCTGGTTCAATATATGCAAATCAATAAACGTAATCCAGCATATAAACAGAACCGAAGACAAAAACCACATGATTATTTCCATAGATGCAGAAAAGGCCTTC
This sequence comes from Homo sapiens, assembly GCF_000001405.40. NCBI lineage: Eukaryota > Metazoa > Chordata > Mammalia > Primates > Hominidae > Homo > Homo sapiens. The sequence continues at coordinate 33,089,355 of NC_000009.12, forward strand.
AACAAAATTCAACAGCCCTTCATGCTAAAAACTCTCAATAAATTAGGTATTGATGGGACGTATCTCAAGTTAATAAGAGCTATTTATGACAAACCCACAGCCAATATCATACTGAATGGGCAAAAACTGGAAGCATTCCCTTTGAAAACTGGCACTAGACAGGGATGCCCTCTCTCACCACTCCTATTCAACCTAGTGTTGGAAGTTCTGGCCAGGACAATCACGCAGGAGAAAGAAATAAAGGGTATTCGATTAGGAAAAGGGGAAGTCAAATTTTCCCTGTTTGCAGATGACATGATTGTATATTTAGAAAACCCCATCGTCTCAGCCCCAAATCTCCTTAAGCTGATCAGCAACTTCAGCAAAGTCTCAGGATACAAAATCAATGTGCAAAAACCACAAGCATTCCTATACACCAATAACAGACAAACAGAGAGCCAAATCATGAGTTAGCTCCCATTCACAATTGCTTCAAAGAGAATAAAAGACCTAGGAATCCAACTTATAAGGGATGTGAAGGACCTCTTCAAGGAGAACTACAAACCACTGCTCAACGGAATAAAAGAGGACACAAACAAATGGAAGAACATTCCATGCTCATCAATATCGTGAAAATGGCCATACTGCCCAAGGTAATTTACAGATTCAATGCCATCCCCATCAAGCTACCAATGACTTTCCACACAGAATTGGAAAAAACTACTTTAAAGTTCATGTGGAACCAAAAAAGAGCCTGCATTGCCAAGTCAAACCTAAGCCAAAAGAACAAAGCTGGAGACATCACGCTACCTGACTTCAAACTATCCTACAAGGCTACAGTAACCAAAACAGCACGGTACTGGTACCAAAACAGAGATATAGACCAATGGAACAGAACAGAGCCCTCAGAAATAATGCTGCATATCTACAACTATCTGATCTTTGGCAAACCTGACAAAAACAAGAAATGAGGACAGGATTCCCTATTTAATAAATGGTGCTGGGAAAACTGGCTAGCCATATGTAGAAAGCTGAAACTGGATCCCTTCCTTACACCTTATACAAAAATTAATTCAAGATGGATTAAAGACTTAAATGTTAGACCTAAAACCATAAAAACCCTAGAAGAAAACCTAGGCAATACCATTCAGGCCATAGGCATGGACAAGGACTTCATGACTGAAGCACCAAAAGCAATGGCAACAAAAGCCAAAATTGACAAATGGGATCTAATTAAACTAAAGAGCTTCTGCACAGCGAAAGACACTACCATCAGAGTGAACAGGCAACATACAGAATGGGAGAAAATTTTTACAATCTACCTATCTGACAAAGGGCTAATATCCAGAATCTACAAAGAACTTAAACAAATTTACAAGAAAATATCAAACAACCCCATCAAAAATTACACAAAGGATATGAACAGACACTTCTCAAAAGGAGACATTTATGCGGCCAACAGACACCCAAAAAAATGCCCATCATCACTGGCCATCAAAGAAATGCAAATCAAAACCACAACGAGATGCCATCTCACACCAGTTAGAATGGCGAACATTAAAAAGTCAGGAAACAACAGGTGCTGGAGAGGATGTGGAGAAATAGGAACGCTTTTACACTGTTGGTGGGACTGTAAACTAGTTCAACCATTGTGGAAGACAGTGTGGCGATTCCTCAAGGATCTAGAACTAGAAATACCATTTGACCCAGCCATCCCATTACTGGGTATATACCCAAGGGATTATAAATCGTGCTGCTATAAAGACACATGCACACGTATGTTTATTGCAGCACTATTCACAATAGCAAAGACTTGGAATCAACCCAAATGTCCATCAATGACAGGCTGGATTAAGAAAACGTGGCACATATGCACCATGGAATACTATGCAGCCATAGAAAAGGATGGGTTATGTCTTTTGTAGAGACATGGATGAAGCAGGAAACCATCATTCTGAGCAAACTGTCGCAAGGACAAAAAACCAAACACTGCATGTTCTCACTCAGGTGGGAATTGAAGGATGAGAACACTTGGACACAGGGCGGGGAACATCACACACCAGGGCCTGTTGGGGGTGGGGGGAGGGGGGAGGGATAGCATTAGGAGAATTACCTAATGTGAATGACGAGTTAATGGGTGCAGCACACCAACATGGCACATGTATACATATGTAACAAGACTGCACGTCGTGTGCATGTACCCTAGAGCTTAAAGTATTCAAAAAAAAAAAAAAGGAGCCCTAATGAACCTCCCCAAGTTGAGATATGGAACAGCTGAACCTTGGAAGTAAGGGTGAATTACAAGTAGACAGACCCTAATTGGAATCAGCTTCAAATCATCTCCATCCCTGCAACTAGAATAAGGTAATTCTGGAATGCCATTGCCTCTGAAGAGCCTGGCAGAAGCAAATTTAAAGCCTTTCTGGAGGAAGACATCACAGGCCTCAACTTATTGCTATAAGCAATTTTTTGCATTGTATTTTGCAAATACAATTTCTGGCTCATGAAGAGATAATATAGCATGAATGAAAACCAGCAAAACCAGTAGACAATAGAAATAACTCCACAGGGGCTCCAAATGTTGGCATGATAACAAACCAACTTTAAAGTAACTATGTTTACCATCCTCAAAGGCATCGTTAAGAATTTCAGCAGAGGACTGGGAATAATAAAAAAGGACCTAAATGGAAATTCAAGAACCAAAAACACATGCATGTTTTGTTTTATTGTGCACCACTTTATTTTATTTTATTTATTTGGGGAATTGCACTTTTTACAAATTGAATGTTTGTGGCAACCCTGCCTGGACCATCTATCAAGGCCATTTTTCTGATAACATGTGCTCACTTTGTTTCTTTATCTCACAAAGTGAGAGCCTTTTTCAGCAATGTTTTTCTTCTTCTTCTCCTTCTTCTCCCCCTCCTTCTACTTCTCCTCCTTCTCCCTCTGTCCCTCTCCTCCTCCTCCTTCTTCTTTTTAGAGACAGGGTCTCGCTCTGTCACCCAGGCTGAAGTGCAGTGGCACAATCATAGCTCAATGCAGCCTCAAACTGCTGGGCTCAAACAGTCCTCCCACTTCAGCCTCCTGAGTAGCTGCGACTATAGGCATGAGCCACCTCGTGGCTGCAATACAATATTTAAAAATCAAGGCATGTGCATTGGTTTTTAGACATAATGCTATTGCACACTTAATGACTCTAGTGCAAACATAAACTATTATATACACTCAGAAACCAGAAAATTTGTTTGACTCACTTTATTGCAATATTCACTTTATTGTGGTGGTCTTGAACTGAACCCACAGTCTCTCCAAGGTATACCCGTACAATCATCAATAATAAGTAATTATGGATAGGTTTACCAGTTGATCTGACAAACTAAAGAGAGAATGTATGAATTAGAAAATAAGTCAGAAAAAAACAGAAATAGGTGCAGAGAGACAAAAGTATGGAAAATACAGAAGAGAGGAAATGATTCATAAAGAGTGCGATGAGAAGTTCTAACACATGTATAATTCAAGTTCCTGTAAGACAGAAGAGAGAGATAACGGGGTAGAAGAAAAGCCTGAAGGATTAATGGCTGAAGACTTTCCAAAAACGAAGAAAGGTATCAAATCACAGATTCAAGAAATCCTAGAAACCCAGGCAGAATAAATAAAAAGAAGTCTGCACCCGGACACATCATAGTACATTGGACACATAGTCTACATGGGACACATCAAAACCAGTGACAAAGAGAAAATCTTAAAAGCAGTCAAAGGAATAAAGATGCATTATCTTCCAAAAAAAAAAAAAGCAACAATTTAATCAATGACTTCTGCTCAGAAATAATGAAAACCAGCAGACAATGGAATTACATATTTAAGGTACTGAAAGAAAATAACTGCCAAATTTGAATTCTATATTCAGCAAAAATACCCTTCAAGGAGAAAGGTAAGATTCTGATTCAAAAAAAAAAAAACTGTAAATAAAAGAATAAGAAAAAATCGGAGGAATTTGAATACTGACTGAATATTTGATAGTAAGTAATTTAATTTATTTTAAATTGTCGTGGTTTTTTTTAACGAGTACTTATCTTTTAGGGATAGACACTAAAGAATTTACAGATGAATTTTTTTTTTTTTTGAGACAGACTTTCGCTCTTGTTGCCCAGGCTGGAGTGCAATGGCACAATCTTGGCTCACTGCAACCCGTCTCCCAGGTTCAAGCGATTCTCCTGCCTCAGCCTCCCAAAGTGGCTGGGATTACAGGCACCCCCCACCATGCCCAACTAATTTTTTTGTATTTTTAGTTGAGACGGGGTTTCACCATGTTGGCCAGGCTGGTCTTGAACTCCTGACCTCAGGCGATCCACCCGCTTCGGCCTCCCAAAGTGCTGGGATTACAGGCGTGAGCCACTGCGCCCGGCCTACGGTTGAAATATTATGATGCCAGGGACTTTCTTCAAAATAACCTGGAACTGGGTGGGGACTGTGTGGTGGGAAACAGATTGGATAGGTGCTGATAATTGTTGAAGTTAAATAATGGATATACAGCTTCATTATACTAGTCTCTCTACTTTTGCATATGTTTGAAGTTTTCCATTGTAAAAATTTCTCAAAAAGAATGAAAGTAAAATAAAGACATTTTCAGACAAATAAAAATGAGAAAATCTGTCACTGATTGAGCCATACTAAAAAATGTTCTTTAGGTCAAAGGAAAATGATGCCACACAGAAGCTTGCAAATGGCCGGGCGCGGTGGCTCACCCCTGTAATCCCAGCACTTTGGGAGGCCAAGGCGGGCGGATCACGAGGTCAGGAGATCGAGACCATCCTGGCTAACACGGTGAAACCCCGTCTCTACTAAAAATACAAAAAATTAGCTGGCCATAGTGGCGGGTGCCTGTAGTCCCAGCTACTCGGGAGGCTGAGGCAGGAGAATGGCGTGAACCCGGGAGGCGGAGCTTGCAGTGAGCCGAGACTGTGCCACTGCACTCCAGCCTGGGCGACAGAGAGAGACTCCGTCTCAAAAAAAAAAAAAGCTTGCAAACGCAGAAAAGAATGAAAAACAATGAAGATGGTAAATATGTTTATAAACCTGAATTGATGCTGGCTGCATAAAGCAATAATAATAACATGAGGTTGGAAATGAAATTAAAACGTATAACAACAATGACGTAAAAGCCAAGACAGTAAATGGAGTAAAAGTGTTCCAAGGTTCTTGCACTATCCTGGAAGAAGATAAATTCCTATTAGACTTAAATAAGTCAAGGGTGGATATAGTAATCCCTGTAGTATTACTAAAAGAATAGTGAAAGGGTGCATAATTTCCAAGCCGGTAGAGAAAAAATGTAGAAAAGTTAAAAATATATTATCAATTCAAAAGAAGGCAAGAAAGGAGAGAAAAGGGAATATAGAGCACATAAAGAGTGCTCTTTCAGCATACAAACATGCTCTGGTATCTCTCACTCTTAAAATTCTTCCTTGGCCTATTATTTCTTTTCATACTCCACCTCATTTCTCTGCTTTCCTTCATAGCGAAACTTCTAGAAACAGTTGCCCCCAAAATGCTATTTCTGCTCCCTCAATCTGTTCACTCCCACCCTATTCCAATATAACTTTCCTCTCTACCATTCCACAAAGTCTTCTCACGTCAAAGCCACTGATGATGACTGAGGATGACTGAGGAGACAAATACAAAGCATTTAGGGCTGGGCGCGGTGGCTTACGCCTGTAATCCAGCACTTTGGAAGGCCGAGGCAGGTGGATCATGAGGTCAGGAGCTCAAGACCAGCCTAGCCAACATGGTGAAACTCCGTCTCTACTAAAAATACAAAAATTAGCCGGGCATGGTGGCATGCGCCTGTAATCCCAGCTACCTTGGGAGGCTGAGGCCAGAGAATAGCTTGAACCTGGGAGGCAGAGGTTGCAGTGAGCCAAGTTCATGCCACTGCACTCCAGCCTGGGCAACAGAGCAAGACTCCGTCTCAAAAAAAAAAAAAGAAAGAACTTAATAAAATTATAGATTCAGACTGAAATATACCAATAGTTACAGTGAATATAAATGGAAAAGAAATTCTCCAGTTAAAATACAAGAATTAGTAGACAGGTTTAAAAAACAAACAACATGCTATTTACCAGAGACAGAGGTAAGGCATAAGGATACAGTAAGGCATAAGGATACAGGTAAGGCATAAGGATATGGAAAAAAGGATACAGTAAAAGGACTGAGAAATATAAAATTGGAAGACTCTAAAAGAAAGCTGATATAGCTGTATTTTATATATATATGTGTGTATATATACGTGTATATATATGTATATATATAGTGTGTGTATATATATATATAAAATAAAAGGTTGGTTTCCTCCTTCCTTTTAAAGTATATAATTCAATTTTTTTTCAGTATGTTCAAAATATTATGCAGCCATCACCACTATATAATTCCTAGATAAAATTTACTTTAAGGCAAAAATTCTTTTTTTTTTTTTTTTTTTGAGACCCAGTCTCACTCTGTTGCCTAGGCTGGAGTGCAGTGTCACGATCTCAGCTCACTGCAACCTCTGCCTCCCAGGTTCAAGCAATTCCCCTGCCTCAGCCTCCCGAGTACCTGGGATTACAGGCGTGTACCACCATTGCCTGGCTAATTTTTGTAGTTTTAGTAGAGATGGGGTTTCCCCATGTTGGCCAGGCTAGTCTCAAACTCCTGACCTCAGGCAATCCGCCCACCTCTGCCTCCCAAAGGGCTGGCATTACAGCTGAGAGCCACTGCGCCCGGCCAAAAAGTCTTAAACCCAGAAGATACAACAATCCTAAATTGCTAAATCTCTAATAACATAGTCTCAAAGCACAAGACGTAAGAACTGATAGAACTACAAAGACAAATAGAAAAAGCTACAAGCCTAGTGGGAAATTTTCAACAAGCAAAGAGTATAGAAGATTTGATTTCAAAATTCATTAAGGTAGGGCCGGGCATGGTGGCTGATGCCTGTAATCTCAGCACTTTGGGAGGCTGAGACGGGCAGATCATGAGGTCAGGAATTCCAGACCATCCTGGCTAACACAGTGAAATGCCGTCTCTACTAAAAATACAAAAAATTAGCTGGGCGTGGTGGCAGGTGCCTGTAGTCCCAGCTACTCGGGAGGCTGAGGCAGGAGAATGGCATGAACCCGGGAGGCGGAGCTTGCAGTCAGCCGAGATTGCGCCACTGCACTCCAGCCTGGGAAACAGAGTGAGACTCCATCTCAAAAAAAAAAAAAAAAAAAAAAAAAAAAAAAAAATTCATTAACGAAATAGAAGATTTGAACAATACAATTAACAACTTTGACCTAAGAGACATACACAGAACACTGTCCCCTAAAATTCTGACTACTGTAGTCCCCCTCTTATCCACAGTCTCCTTTTCCATGGTTTCATTAACCCATGGTCAACTGCAATCTGAAAATAGGTAAGCATAGTACAATAAGATCTTTTGAGAGAGACATTTTTAGTAGAGACAGAGTTTCACCATGTTGGCCAGGGTGGTCTAGAACTCCTGACCTCAAGTGATCTGCTCACCTTGGCCTCCCAAAGTGCTGGGATTACAGGCCTGAGCTACCATTGCTGGCCTTTCTGTTGTTGTTTTTAGACAGGGTCTTCTCATTCTATCACCCGGGCTGGAGTGCAGTGGTGTGATCATGGCTCATTGCAGCCTCAAACTCCTGGCTCAAATGATCCTCCTGCCTCGGCCTCCCAAAGTGCTGGGATTATAGAAATGAGCCAGTGTGCTTGGCCACAAAACTTTTTCCTTTGAACATAATTATGAGATTGAAATAAAAAGGAAAAAGACTTTTTCAGCGATATGAAAATCTAAGGAGGATATTATGAGTAAGGAAAATTACCTACTAATTTTGGTCATGAACATAGATGTAAAAATCCTAAATAGTAGATTAGCCAACCAAATCTTGCTATAGATAAAAAGGTCACTACATAATGAGTAAATTGTTTCTATTCTAGGAATGCAAGTTTGGCTTAACACTTGAAAACCAATCCAAGAAATCTACCCCGTTAACAGAATAAGGGAGAAAAATCACGTGATCATTTTAATAGATGCCGAAAAGCATTTAATAAAATTCAACATCCATTCATGATTAAACCAAAACAATACAAAACAAAAAACTTAACTCTTACCAAACAAGGAATAGAAGGGAATTTTCTTAGTATAATGAAAGTCTACATAAAACTATATCAAATATCATTTTTTTTTTTTGAGATGGAGTTTCACTCTTGTTGCCCAGTCTGGAGTGCAATGGTATGATCTTGGCTCACCACAACCTCTGCCTCCTGGGTTCAAGTGATTCTCCTGCCTCAGCCTCCCGAGTAGCTGGGATTACAGGCATGCACCACCACATCTGGCTGATTTTTTTGTATTTTTAGTAGAGACGGGTTTTCTCCATGTTGGTCAGGCTAGCCTCGAACTCCCGACCTCAGGTGATCCACCTGCCTCGGCCTCCCAAAGTGCTGGGATTACAGGCGTGAGCCACCGTGCCTGGCCTTCAACTATCATTCTTAACTATATCAAATACCCTTCTTAATGGTGAAACTTTAGTTTTCCTTTAGAGATCTAGACTTAGAATAAATGAAAATACCTCTCTACTACCGCTATTCAACATTGTAATGAAAGTCCTAGACAGCACAGGAAGGTACGAAATAAAAGCTTTGAGATTGGAAAGGAAGAAACATCTTTTTTTTTTTTTTTTTTTGAGACGGAGTCTTGCTCTGTTGCCCAGGCTGGAGTGCAGTGGTGCGATCTCGGCCCGCCACAAATTCCGCCTCCCGGGTTCAAGTGATCGTCCTGCTTCAGCCTCCCAAGTAGCTGGGACTACAGGCGCGTGCCACCATCCGTGGCTAATTTTTGTATTTTTAGTAGAGATGGGGTTTCGCCATGTTGCCCAGACTGGTCTCAAACTCCTGAGCTCAAGCGATCTATTCACCTTGGCCTCCCAAAGTGCTGGGATTACAGGCGTGAGCCACCGCACCCGGCCGGAAGAAACATTTAAAGATGACAGGAAATCTTCGTAGAAGATACTTAGAAAATCCAAATGAATGTGGAGAAAATTATTAGAATTAGTTATCAAGGTTACTGAATACAAAGTCAATATACGAAAATTGTGTTTACATATATGAGCAACAAAAGAAAAATATGTTTCAAAAGGCTATCATTTATTTAAAAATAGTGAAAATAGACTGGGCGCAATGGCTTACGGCTATAATCCCAGCACTTTGGGAAGCTAAGGCAGGTGGATCACTTGAGCCCAGGAGTTCGAGACCAGCCTGAGCAACATGGTGAAAGCCTGTCTCCACAGAAAATAGAAAAAAATAGCCAGGCATGGTTGCATGTGCCTGTAGTTCCAGGTACTCAGGAGGCTGAAGTGGGAGAATCACTTGGGCCTGGGAGGCGGAGGTTGCGGTGAGCCGAGATCATGCCACTGTACTCCCCGCTGGACGACAGAGCAAGACTCTGTCTCAAAAAATAAAAAAGAGTAAAAATATATACAATACCTGGGAAAAAATAATAAAAATGTATAAGATCCCTGTGAAGAAATGCAAGAAGACCTAAACCAAAAGAGGATTCTATCTTGTTTATACGTTGAAGGTTTGATGTTTTAAAGATATCAGGTCTCTTATAGTGATCCATAAACTTACCAGCATTTCAATCAATATCTCAAAAAGTGGGGTGATTATGGTGGGGTTTTTTGGTGGCTCTTGAGAGGCTGATTGTAAAGTTCTTATGGAAATGCAAGAGCCAAGACACTCAATAAAAAAAGAACAAGTTTCAGTAAAAAGGTACAGTATGGTAGTGGGACAACGATAGATAAATAAAGCCATGAACTAGAATAGAGTCCAGGGACAGACCCTCACAGGAAAGGACAGTTGCTTTATGACCAAGGTGGCATTGAAGTACAGTGGAGAAAGGACAACAGCTTTTCAATAAACAGTACTGGGATAATTGTGGATGTCCACAAAAAAGCAATTTGCCTACAGTTCCCCAGTGACTATGTGGTGAAGCCAAGTCTTTATTATTTTTTTATTTGTCTTGAGATAGAGTCCACGCCTGGCTAATTTTTGTATTTTTAGGACAGACAGGGTTTCAACAAGTTGGCCACGCTGGTCTCGAACTCCTGACCTCAGGTGATCTGCCTGCCTCGGCCTCCCAAAATGCTGGAATTACAGGCATGAGCCATCATGCCCGGCCTGAAGCCAAGTCTTTAAACCCAAACGTATCTGGCTCTAAAGTCCATACTCTTTACATTTGGCCAACCACCATGTCACGTCCCAAAGCTGTGGTGAGCAACAGGCCTCCCAAGCTATGGAGGTGCTCTGTGACCCAGTAAATGTTGTGAATACCTGCAGAGGAGATAATTACTGCCTTCCAGGTTGGCAGGGTCTCCTTGGCCCATAGCCCTAAAGCTCCTACTGGGTTCCCCTCCTCTCTGGTAAAGTACAGCTGGCACCTGACCACCAAGTCCCTTTGAAAAAGAGTGGCCCTCTGGTTGACTCTGGCAAGGGGGACTTCAGCAGGGGGCTGGCCTTACAGCCAAGGTACTCAGGACTGAATACCCCCAGGGCGCTGTGAGAGGCTGATGCTCTGAGGTTCCCTTGGGGTCAGCCTCAGGCCAGAATTTGGTCACCAGAACTAGGTCACCAGAGACTCTTGGGACAAGTTTTGTGTTTTACTTTTTAAGCTGAACTTTGTGTTTTTGTGGCTTTGGTTCAGGGGTAGAACCCAGCTGAAGAAGGAAAAGCAGTAGAGCCTTCCAGGAAAACACGCAGAGGAGGCCTAGTTCCCTTTGGCCTCTTGGCCATGCCCTGGGGGATCCCTCGGAACTACCAGGGACTGCCCTTCCTCCATTCCTCCCTTCCCTAGTTTCCTGGATTGACAAAGTAGACCTTTGTTTCTGGCTTTGAGACCTTGAGGGAGGATAAGAGTCCTGTCTTTAGCACCCTAGCAGTAACTATAATCAGGCTGAAGAGTTTTCTTAGAAATACAAAATGGCAGCTTGGAAAGGCCCTCGTAGCCTCCTGACCCCGTTTCCAGATGGGGAGTAGAGAGATGATCTTGTTACAGGAAAAGGATCCCAATCTAGACCCCAAGAAAGGGTTCTTGGATCTTGTGCAAGAAAGAACTTGGGGCAAGTCCATGGAGTAAAACGAAAGCAAGTTTATTAAGAAAGCAGAAGAATAAAAGAATGGCTACTCCACTGGCAGAACAGCGGAGTGGGCTGCTTGACTGAGTATACTTATAGTTATTTCTTGATTATATGCTAAACAAGAGGTGAATTATTCGTGAGTTTTCTGGGAAAGGGGTGGGGATTTCCCCCAGAACTGATGGTTCCTCCCCTTTTTAGACCGTATAGGGTAACTTCCAGACATTGCCATGGCATTTTTAAACTGTCGTGGCACTGATGGGAATGGGAGTGTCTTTTAGCATGCGAATGCATTATAATTAGCATATAGTGAGTGGTAAGGACACCAGAGGTCACTTTCATCACCATCTTGGTTTTGGTGGGTTTTGGTTGGCTTCTTTACAGCATCCTGTTTTATCAGCAGGGTCTTTGTGACCTGTATCTTTTTTTTTTTTTTTTTGAGACGGAGTTTCACTCTTGTTGCCCAGGCTGGAGTGCAATGGTGTGATCTCGGCTCACTGCAACCTCCACCTCCCAGGTTCAAGCGATTCTCCTGTCTCAGCCTCCCGAGTAGCTGGTATTACAGGCGCCTACCACCATGCCTAATTTTTGTATTTTTAGTAGAGATGGCATTTCGCCATGTTGGCCAGACCGGTCTCAAACTCCTAACCTCCAGTGATCCACCCGCCTCGGCCTCCCAGAGTGCTGGGATTACAAGTGTGAGCCACCACGCCCGGTCTGTGACCTGTATCCTATGCCAACCTTCAGTCTCATCCTGTGACTAAGAATGCCTAACCTTCTGGGAATGCAGCCCAGTAGGTTTCAGCCTTATTTCACCCAGCCCCAGTTCAAGATGGAGTTGCTCTGGTTCAAACGCCTTTGACATTCTGGCCTTGGTCACCCAGGGGTCAACCCTAGACTCCCATTACAGCACTTCCTCAGTTCCCTCAACTAATTGCACTCCCTCAAATTGAGGCATTCCCAGCAGTATGCTAGGATGTGTACTGACATCAGGGTTGGAGAGGGGCCAGGGAAAGGCCTGGCAGGCCTTGTCTCCCACAAAGAAAACCCTTGGAACAGTCTCCCGGAGGTTGTGGGCAGTGAACCTGCACGACAGGGTAGACCCAAGACAGGAAGAGTGCCCATGGATCCTGGGAGCCAGCAGGGCCAAGATCTGCCAGCCAAATTCACAGAGGCCACCAAGCCCAGCGCCCTTGAGACACACACAGCATCTGAGTCAGACACAGAGCATTCCAAGCTGGTAGGAATGGCCCAAGCTGACATATGAGATGTCATGCCCAACAGACAAATTGTTCATGGGGAAGATTTCTCCTGTCCTCAGCATGCAATTCTTCTCTCCCCATTCCATAGTCTCATTGTCACTAGGTCAGTGTCTATCCAGAGCAAACCACATGGAACACAAATCATTGAGGCTTGGAGTTGATGAAGTTAAACCCAACAGCCTGCTTTTTAGCAGTCTTGATTCAGCTTGTCATCAAAACAAACCACAGCCCCTGGCTTTGCTTAGGAAAATGCCTTTGGCTGAGAACTTACAGGGGGGTCTTGGAATAGTGTGGCAATTGCTCTCCCTTGGGAAGAGGGTGTACAGTCGGGGAGGAAAGGTGCCCAGAAGAGAAAGGGAGAACTAAGCAGGCATCTAGGCCTTATTGGGGAATCCTAGGTCTCCACCTGGACTTCTGGGTCCCCGCAGTCTTCAGACAGACACTGTGCTGAGCCCTCCTGAGCACCAGGTGTTGGCCCAGGCAGGGCAGGTCCAGGAGGATTAAGAAGCTGTGTTGTCCATGAAGCAGGAACTGGTTGTTGCTGCCCAGAGTGATGCCTCAGAGGCAGAAAACCCCATGTCTTCAGGTCCACTTGCATCCCCAGCCCTCAGGAGTCTCCCTTCTTCCCTCTTCCCCACGCCTCAGGCCTCCTTGCATCCTCATGGATTGTTTCAGTGTTAACCATTCCTGTACATCTCCCAGACCGTGGTGACACCAATGCAATGCCCCTGGTATACGGAACTGTCGCTGTCAAGTTTACTAGGTTCCTAAGTCCTCTAAAACAGTAAAGGGAAAACAAAACAAAACACAAACAATCTCATCCCAAAGGTGCTCTTGGCTCCAGCCCTGGATCCAGGCTGTACTTCTCTCGGCAGTGCTGCTGAGGCCACAGCTTCCCTGGCTGGGGCAAGGAACCTCACAGCCTCCATCGCCCTGCTCCCACACTGTGTGGATGAGGAGCTGGGTCATGGTCCAGTGGCCAGAGCCCTAGCCTGGGACTCAGGAGGTCTGTGTCAGACCCAAACTCTGTGTGACCTTGTGCAAGTCATGTGAGCTCCCTGAGCCTAAGTTTCCCATGCTGGAATTATTGTAAGGAGCAACACACGGTACGTGGGAAAGCGCCGAGTGTGCTCATGGAGGGTGAACACGGGTGAGGGGTTCACGAGTCCACCTGCACCCTCCCTGCCCCACAGGCCCGCCTTGGAGGAAGGTGGGAACTAAGAGCTGGGCCATGGAGCTGGCCTTTCTCCTGTGCTTCTGTCATCAGGGGAGACCAAAGTCACTGTGGCCACCGCAACAGGACACAGGGAGCACTCCAAAGGCCCCGGCGACGTTTGATTGTCCAGCATTCCACATCTGTCCCAGAAATGAGTTTCCAACAGCTCCAGGCTCAGGTCTGTGTCAAAATCCAGATGTCAGGGCCTCCCTCTGCAACAGGGCTCCTAGATTCTGGAGTCAAAGATCTACTAGAAAAGGGGTCCCCCTTGTCGAGCTCTGATCAGGCACAAGAGGCGAATCTCGCCCCTCCAGAGCCAAGACAGTGTTCCTCTCCTACCGCATTCTTTCCATTCTTTAGTGTCTTGAGGCTTGACAGTTCAATTGCCCTCACAAAAGAGTGGCAAGAAATGTTGTAACTATTTTTCTAAACCTGAGAGAATTGCCAGAAGCCCCCCCAGCCTGTGTTGAGCTCCCATTCTGCCTTCTCAGACCTTCCTACAGCCATGCCATTTCCCACCACCTGTGAACAGAGTTCAGGCCTCCACCATTCCCCCAGGGGAGGAACCCTGCATCACCCTTCCAAGACTGGGGGACTTATGGGGAATGCAACTCCTCCCAGAAGACAACCCAGCATGTCCTCTCAACAGGGCCAACATTCTGAACAAAGGCCTCAGCCCAGGGTGGGGCGGGGACGCTTAGAACAGGGGCCTGGCCCCAGGCTATGTAGAGAAGGAAAATCATCTTCAATTTTTTGCTCATGCATCTGCTCCCAGAAACAATTACAGAGTAATTTCTGCACTAAATTATTCATACATTTCCCTGCCTCATATGGAAAGACCATTCTGTAGTTTCCTTTGTTTCCTTAGGCCTCTTTCCAATCGATAAATATAGATCCACTTCATCATTCTCAATGGTTGCATAGTACTTGATTGTTTGGATGTACTTCATTTTACTTAGCACAGTCCCCCGTTGACGGTGGCTTCTCATTTTCCAGGGCTACAAACAGCACTAGGGCGAACACTGACGCACATACATCTTGGGGTGTGACTTTGTTTTCTTAGGATGAATTCCTAGAAGTTGACTTGTGAGGTCAAAAGATAGGTCCACTTTTAGGATTTATTTCTCTATAGTCCACTCCCAGAATGGGTGTGGTAGTACCCTCGCCAGTACCAAGTCCTGTCTCTCCCAAGTGTCCTGCCCACTCTCCAATCCAGGGTCTAACATGGAGTTCAGGCTCTGCTTCCTGACACCAGGGGACCCTCCTCTCCTTCAAGACATAACCTATCTAGCTGACTCCATTTTCACCCCCAGGGATAATCCAGCCCCCAGCTTGTCATTTCTTCCTCTAAAAAGCCTCCAGCTCAGCCCCTAGTTTCCACCAACAGTCAGTGGGAACCAAGTGGGCACCCTGGGAGTAAGAGGCTCCTTGCTCCCAGTCCTGAGATCTTGACTGAGTCCAGGCTTCAACTTCTCCACCTAAGCCCCACCTGGCAAAAGGACGGTTGTACCTATGTCATAGCTTTGCCACAGCCCAGACTCCTTAGGGGAGGACAGCATTTGTCTCGAGAACAGGTAGCCGCTGAAAAGCCAGTCACTGGGGTCAAGGTCCCCAGCTGGATTCAGCAACCAGGCTGAGTCCTTATGACTGGCCAATCCTCCTCAGGTGGCACAGCCCACACAGCCAGCACGTCTCACGCTCAAATCTCCAGGAAGATGCTGGGACTAACCACCATGCGCTGCCACCTCCAGAGCAGAACAGACCAGGCGAAGCCTTCACCACAGGAGTCTTCTTATTTTTTCATACTGTGGTAAAATACACATAACAGAAAATGCATCATTTTACCTTTTTTTTTTTTTTTGAGACAGTCTCACTCTGTTGCCCAGGCTGGAGTGCAGTGACGTGCTAAGTAAATGAACTGCAACTTCCACCTCTTGGGTTCAAACAATTCTCCTGCCTCAGCCTCCTGAGTGCCTGGGATTACAGGCATGTGCCACCACGCCCAGCTAATTTTTGTATTTTTAGTAGAGACGGGGTTTCACTGTGTTGGCCAGGCTGGTCTCAAACTCCTGACCTCAAGTGATCCGCCCACCTTGGCCTCCCAAAGTGCTGGGATTACTGGCGTGAGCCACTCACTGCGCCCGGCCTCCACATTTTAACCTTATTTATTTATTTATTTTGAGATGGAGTTTCACTCTTGTTGCCCAGGCTGGAATGCAATGGCCCAATCTCGGCTCACCACAACCTCCGCCTTCCAGGTTCAAGAGATTCTCCTGCCTCAGCCTCCCTAGTAGCTGGG
Source organism: Homo sapiens (assembly GCF_000001405.40). Classification (NCBI taxonomy): domain Eukaryota; kingdom Metazoa; phylum Chordata; class Mammalia; order Primates; family Hominidae; genus Homo; species Homo sapiens. Next base: position 33,105,276 of record NC_000009.12, read on the forward strand.
ATTACAGGCATGCACCACCACGCCTGGCTAATTTTGTATTTTTAGTAGAGACAGGGTTTCTCCATGTTGGTCAGGCTGGTCTCGAGAACTCCCAACCTCAGGTGATCCTCCCGCCTCAGCCTCCCAAAGTGCTAGGATTACAGACATGAGCCACCAAGCCGGCCCATTTTAACCATTTTTAAATGGGAACAGGTAGCAACTGAAAAGTCAGTCATCGGGGGCAGAGTGCCAATGTAAAGTTCTGTGGCATAAAGTACATTCATATTGTTGCACCACCACCATCCATTTCCAGAACTTTTTCATCTTCCCCAACTAAAACTCTGTACTCATTAAACAATAACTCCCCATTCCCCTTCCCTTCCCCATGCCCCTGACAACCACCATTCTGCCTTCTGTCTCTGTGAGTTTGACTATTTTAGCTGACTCGTCTAAGTGCAATCATATGATATTTGTCCTTTTGTGACTGACTTATTTCGGTTAGCATAATATCTTCAAGGTTCATCTGAGTTGTAGTATATGTCAGAATTTCCTCCCCTTTTAAGGCTGACCGATATTCCATTGTATGTATATACCGCCTTTTGTTTATCCATCAATGGACTCGTGGGTTTTTTTTTTTTTTTTTTTTTTGGCTACTGTGAATAATAGTGCTAGGAACTAGTATCTGCTCAGGCTCCTGTTTTTATTTCTTTTGGGTATATAGCTAAAAATGGACTTGTTGCATTCTATGGTAATTCCATGTTTAATTTTTGGAGGAATTTCCATACCATTTTCCATAGGGGTTCCACCATTTTACATTCCTACCAGCAATGCACAAGTATTCCAATTTCTTCTTTTCTTTTACCCTGAATCAACAATGACTAACATCAGATCCAATTTCTGCATATCTTTGCCAACACTTATTTTGTGTTTCTGGTTTTTAAAATAATAACCATCCAAATTGGTGTATCTCTTTGTGATTTTTATCTGCATTTCCACTTAAGGGAGCCTTCTTAAGGTCAGGAAATCCTAGATCCCTTTGTCAAAGGACAGATGGCCCAGCTGAAAGAAGCCTGGGTAGGGAGTTTGCTCCCACGCTCCTCTTAACCCTATTTCTTACTCCTGGGAGCTGAGCAGAGGTACAGCCACCCTGTCCGCATCCCTGTGCTTCTCCCTCAGGCCCCTGGGTACTCTTGACCCTGCTGAGCTTGGTAGGGGATGATCAGGAAGCCTGAGTTTTGGAAGTTAAGGAAGAGCAGGTGAGAGGAAGGATGGAGACAAAGAAGCACTTCTGAGGGACAGCAATGGAGCGTGGATGGCATTGGGCACAAGAGGGAGATGTCTCCAACGCCATGCCAGCCCTCCCTCACCAGGTAGAACTTTAATAGCTTACCCCGTGATGCTCCAGGAAGCCCTGGGAGGGAGGCAGGGAGGGAGGAGAGCAGGAAGGGGTGATCCTGCTGCTTTTACAAATGATGACCCAGAAATAAATGGACTTCCCTCAAGAAGACAGAGAAGGTTAGTCGCAGGGCAAGAGGAAAAGTCAACAGCAGGGCACTTCCTACAGAAGACACAGAGACACAGAGAGGGGAACCAACTTGCCCAGCATCACACAGCAAGTGGGGAGTCAGAGACAGCCACACGTAATGGTCATTGTATGGCTTCCTCCTGGCTTGTCTTTCCAGGCTCCCTGCCTGGTGACCTGGCACTCACTCTCCCCAAATACACCGTGATATCATTGTGCCCTCTCTCTACTCTTGGTGACCCTGGAACACATCTCGCTGCAGGGCAAATGTCCTTGGGGTGTCATGTTCCTCTGGTTTCCAGTCTATTGACCCTGTCACTCATAACAACCTCCTCTGCACCTGGGGTTCCTCTGCCTCACAGCCTGGGTACAGGTCCTGAAGCCCAGAAAAAGGCAGTAGCCACATTCCCTGCCTGGGGACACTGCCAAAGACGGAAATGAGGCTTGCCTGCCATGACCGGCTCAGCCAGACAAACCTCATTTCCTTTCTGGCATGGTAAGAAGTTCCAGTTCTAAGAAGAAACCAGCCCTTAGGAATGTCTGAAATCCCACCTCCTGGAAGAAACAAGAGGGAAGGAGCCTGGATATGTGGCAGAAACTTGGTAACCTTCAGAATGTGGTCAATGTGATCATCCTCATTCCCTCCCCTCTCCCCCCACCCCCACACAGCTGGCCTCAGTCGAGAGCAGCAAACATGTCTCGCCCAGGGAGGCGCCACTCATTCACCCCCAGGGGCAGCCGCCTCCTTGGGCCCCTTGGCCCTGCCTCCAAAGAACAGCTGTAGGCCAGTGATTTGGCACCTGGGCCACGTTCTCCCATGGAAAAGAGGTGGTATGTGGGGGATCTGGTGATTACTCTCATGATTAAGGGGCTCTGCTTGGCTCAGACTTGGTTGTTCTGGGTCCTGTATGAGACTAGAAACAGAGCATTTCTTGAGGAAATGGCTGAGCCTAGGAGCCTGTCCTTGGCCCTCTTCCTCCTTCCTCCCTCCCTGGTCCCTTGGAGCCCATGGGGAGGGGGTTAAACCTCTTTCCCTCCCCAAGGCTGCCATCCTAAACACCTTCACTCAGGTGGGGAGTGGAAGGGTGGGGGAAACACTGTTGGTGAGGTCCTGGGTGTCTCCAGAATAGCAGCAGTCACTCGCCCTGAGGTTTACTCACCCAGCTGCCACATAGCAAAGTTCAAGACGTGTGCCCCAGAAGAGGAAAAGGGAAGATCCCCAGCACCTGAGTGTGTGCATATGTATATCTGTGCAATATGTACATGGCAGTCTGTATATGTCAACACATATGCCCACGTGAATTTCAAACAATTAAACAAGCGTAACACTTGTCGTGCTTATTATGAGCCAGGCATGTTCTAAGTGCTTCATAAGTATGGTATTAACTCACTTAATCTTCATAACAGCCCTATGAAATAGGTTCTGTTATAACTCCCATTACACAGAACCAGAAACTGAGGCAGGATTACTTAAGCCCAGGAGTTTGAATCCAGCCTGGGCAACATAGTGAGATCCCTGTCTCTAAAAAACAAACAAATAATAGAAAAATTAGGGGCCAGGTGCAGTGGCTCACACCTGCAATCCCAGCACTTTGGGAGACTGAGGCAAGAGGATTGCTTGAAGCCGGGAGTTTGAGACCAGCCTGGTCAACATATTGAAACTCTGTCTCTAAAAAAAAAAAAAAAAATTCTGAAAGGCATTTTGTGAGAAACTGAGGCACAGAGAGGCCAAGTCATTTGCTCATGGTCACAGAATAAGAGGCAGTGGCAGGATTTGAATCCAGGTATTCTGACCTCTCATAGGCATATGTCAGCTGTGTTATGCATGTTAGTGTGTAGGCATGTGTGGAGGTGTGTGGGTGGATGCGTGCGTCTGGGTGGATGTGTGTGTCTCTGTGTGTCTGTGTGGATATGTGTCTCAGTGAAGTGGAGCACATCAGTGAAAGGGTGAACTTAACCTTTCACTGGTGTGCTCCATCTCACTCAGACCTGACAGCTTGCAAAGTCCTGTGTGGCACTGTGAGATAATAAAATATATATATTTGGCCTCTGCGCTGGGTTCCTGGTACAGAGCCCCTAAAACTCTTATAATTTCCTGAGCAATAGGAGAATTTTTTGTTCTAATATTTATGCTAGGAGAATCTTTTGTTCTAATATTTATGCTAGGAGAATCTTTTGTTCTAATATTTGGTGCTTGACCCTGGTTCCTGACAGAGCTTCTAATCCCTTGGAATTTCCCGGGTGATAGGAACGTCTTTTGTTTTAATGAAATGATTCTCAGTGAACTCCTGGATGGGGACTGGTCACCAGAAAGACCAAGCCATGATGAGAAGGTTGGCACTTTCAGTCCCACTCCCATCCTTCAGGAAGGGGAAAAGGGCTGAAGGTTGAGCTGACTGGCAATGGCCGATGATGTAGTCTATCAGGCCTATGTGATGAAGCTTCCATAAAAACCAGAAGGACAGGGTCAGATGAGCTTCCAGATAGCTGAACACGTGGAGGTGTCTGGAGGGTGGAGCCCCTGGAGAGGGCATGGAAGCTTCTCTCCCCCTCCCCCATGCCTTGCCCTATGCATCTCTCCATCCGGTTCTTCATCAGTATCCTTTCTAATATCACTTATAATAAGACCAGTAAATGTTAAGTGTTACACTGAGTTCTGTAAGCTGACCTAGCAAATTAAACCCAAGAAGAGGCTCATAGAAACCCCAATTTATAGCTGGTTGGTCAGAAGTATAGGTCACAACTATAGCTGGGTGAGTGGTATAAACCTGCAGCTCAGCTACTTCTAAGTTGTGGCGGGAGGATTGTGTGAGCCCAGGAGTTTCAGGCCAGCCTGGGTGACACAGCAAGGCCCTGTATCCAAAAAACATTTTTGTAAAGCATAGGTCACAACCAACTACTTGTGACTGGCATCTGCAGTGGAGGCAGTCTTGTGAGACTGAGCCCTCAACCTGTGGGATCCGTTGCTATCTCCAGGCAGACAGTGTCAGAATTGAGTTAAACTGTAGGACACCCAGCTAGTGTCCACTAGAAAACTGCTTGTTGGTGGGGAGAAATCCCTACATATCTAGGGGCAGAACTGAAGTGTTGTGAGTGGTGGTGTGTGAGAAGGAAAGAAACAGGTTTTTTTTTGTTTGTTTTTAATTTTGTCAGACCCTCTAAGGCAGCATTTTGTCCAAAGGACCAGAGTTGTCCTGTTTGAAGGCCAGATCTGAACCCCAGGCCACCTTTGCACAGGCCTGAGGTCACCAGGGATCCCTCCAGCAGTGACATGCAGGCAGGGCCTGCAGCTCCCTGCCAAGGGTGGCTCTCCTGCTCACTGGTTTCCTGCAGCCCTTCTTCAGGAGTGCCAATTCAATCCAACCAGCCTGACCCAGGGCCACCAAGGAGGAGGCACCTGGGTAAAAACTAAGACCTTTTAGAGCTTATGGTTACATTTCCTGAGACTGACAAGAAACCTCATTTTGGATAATTCCCTTCAAGTTACACTGTGAGCACCTGGTGCAAATGGCCCTGAGATCTACATCTGAATGATCCTGGTATCTGTTGAAAATAGCAGAATGTGGCCCAAGAACTGCTAGGGGAAAAAAATTCTACTTTGAAATGGCACTAGCTACTATGTAGTGAGTACTTGTGAGGCATTAGTCATTGTTTTACATATATCGTCACTTTTAAGCCTCAAAAAAGTCCCTATGTGTTATTATTCCCATTTTACAGATAAGAGAATGAAGTTCAGATGGGGAAATGTCTGATTCCAGGGAGGCATGTGTATTTGTATGGGTCACAGACCAGGGAATGACCCTGTCCCCACCCCATCCCACAGCCATGACAACCCTTACACCTGGCAAACAGAAACCACCTGCAGTTACAAAGATAGGGTCATTTATTCACGTTATATTATTTAATTTTAAAGGCAAAAATACAGTTCTGTTTTGAACACCAAGATCAGACACAGCCCCCTACACAATGGTAAATACACACATTTGCATACACAGGAAATCAAAATACACAGCACAACAGGTCTCTGGGACATGAAAGCCGTCATCCTGGCTATGCAGAGCCCCCGCCCCTGGCAGTCAGCAGAGACCCTGTCCAGGCTGAAGGCCAGCACAGCATCTCCTTTACTGTCCTGTGCCACCTCTGCCCTCTCTGATCTTTCCCAAAGGCCAGTTCACACAGAGTCACCAGCAATAGGATACACAGAAACAGAAAAGGGCACGGCACATGACAACTTCGCGGTCATAACTCCCAGGAAAAGGAAATGCTCCCTGAACCCCCAGCCCTGAAATCCCCAGTAAGGAAACAGGACCCGCGGCATCTCACGGACCAGGCAAACATCCAGGCCTAACTGTGCCCTGGCTGTGCCTTGGGCCCAGGTGAGCCCATGAGAGCACTACGTCAGCAAATGGGGGGAGCAGTATTTCCCTTGGTTCTAAGAATGAACCACATACTTGACATGAATGAGAAGGTAACCAAAAAAAAAAAAAAAAAAAAAAAAAAAACAACAAGAAAAGGTAGAGTTTGGTTTTAAGAGTAAAATAACACAGAAGTTACCACTCAGGGCATTTGTCTGATTTCTTTTAAGGCACTTTGGAAAAGTCAGGATCTGCGGACAGAAAGAGAGGCTTTCATTCTTCTTATTTCCCACAACTCCCTCTCAATGCAGTCATTTCTAGTTTTAATAATATCCTTGGTATAGAGTGGGGAACTGACAGAGAAATACTTTTTGCATAGTCCAGCTGCTTCTGCAATGGAAAATAATTTTTAACCAATACAAAGGCTTCTGGAAAAAGAACCAAGTTAGCATCTGAGATGCGCAAAGCAGTAAAGGCACAGATAAGACTGGGGCCAGGCACCAGCTCAGCCTCCACACTGAGGGCTGGTACCCAGGAGGGCAGTGGTTTGGGGTCCGCCACGAGCACAAGGCTCAACCCTGGGATTAGGCAGCTGAGTCTTGGAACCTGAGCCCAGGCTGGACCTGGCAAAGGCGCTCAGTGGTAGGAGTGCCTTGTGTCATCTCATCCCAGGTGGCTCAATAGCTCCCAACAGAGGTGGGTTTGTGACAGACAGCCCTGTGGGTGGGAGCCTCAACTGGGGTGGGAGCACCTGTGAAAACCTGAGGTGGAACAGGAGGCTTTAGGCACCGAAGTTCTTGGGAGGGAGTTGGGGTGTGGGTTCGGCTGAACTTCTTTCTAGATCACTAATTAAAAGGCACATTCATGCTGGGGAATGGATAGTCTGTTTGACCCTGAGTGCCACAGTCAAGTTTTAGGGGACAGGCAAGAGGCAAAGGAACAAAAAGGGAGACGAAGGAAGGAATGAGAAAGGCAGGGGAAAAGAGGAAGGAGGAAGAACTGGTAACAAAGGGTGGGCCACGGAGTGTGGCTAGCAGAGCCTCTGAGGGAGGTGGCCCCCACCAGAACAGAGGCTCCCTCTGCCTGGGGAGGTGCAAAGGGCTGGTAAACAACCTGACTGCTGTTATTTACAACCCCCCAGCCTAGGGGCCTGAGGGGTCAGTCTAAGGAGGCTGAGGCTCCCTCCGCCCTGCCCACCTGGGGAGGGTTGGGGAAGTGGAGAGTTCTGCACAGTAGGTGCAGAGGCTTCTGTCTCCCAGGTATCCTCCCCGAGGTCTGGCAGGATAATGCTGACCGGGAGGCCTTACCTGCCAAGGGGCCAGAGGGTGATTTTGCTCTTGAGAAAACCTGGCCTGCCAGCTAAATCATAGGCCTATTTGTGGCCACTACAGCATATATTTATTTTTCTCCCTAAAAAATGCTCAATACCCCTCCCCATATTTAAAACACCACAATAAAAATACATAGGAAATTCAAGTTTACATAGCATGCCAAGAAAAATAAATTGTCATGACTTAACATTAAACAGCTATGCAAATTTGGATCAACACAAAATCAAGCTAGATCATAATTAGAACTCGATCTGTTCTTTCTTTAAAATACTACAAACTACTATTTAAAAAAAAACACAACAACTTTACATTCAGAAATCAGACAATCTGGAGATAGGCCACTGAATGCGAGAAACCCAAGGCTTTTGCTCTGATGCTAGAGTTGCCCTGGAATCCACACACATAGGACAAAAGGTCCAGGGCTCAAGTTTTAAAATCCTTTTGCTAAGAAAAGACATATGCACAGTGATTGCAGTGGTTGCATACCACTGAAAGAAGGGGGTGGGGGGAGGACGTAACATTAAGAATGGTTGAAATTTTGTGTTTTTCTGTTAAATTACAACTACCAAAAAGATCACACCAATCCAATTTTAGCAGCACTCTCCGAATTTTCACGAATAAGAAAACCATAATTTAAAGAAAAATTCTAACCTATTTCACGACAATTTAGCAATTCTATCACCGGGAATGTGTTCCACGGCCACCAAATTTTGGGATGTGTACAGTTCTGACTCTGGGGTGACACTGCGAACACATCAAGAAACCCGCAAAGGCATAAACACCTTGCAGAGCTAAGAATTCACATGCCGAGCCAAGTTGGGGGCAAAATATCCCACTCGTCCTGGTCATCTGGAAAGCCATCTGAATGATGAGCGAAGGGGACCTGTCACTCAGACTGGTAAAAATGAGAGGGACCAGCCCAGCAGATTGGCAGAGACACACAGCAGAGGTCCCTGGCTAATTTCAGGTCTCTTATCCGTGTACCAAAACGCTAGCTCGGTGTCCCGATGTCCACTGTGATTTGGGTATACAATGGGTATCTCTGTACATCCAGCACCTGGTAGGTGAGTGAGTTCAAACCATCAGAGAGCATTGTCTCCTTTGTGTGTGCAATTCGGTCAAACCTACAAGGAAAAGAGCACAAGGAGATTGTCTTAAAACAAAAATCTTAAGAAGAAATCATCACACGTACTTCCTCCTCCCTCTCCACTGTAACCTGACCACCTCAATTTCCCTCTAGGCCCAGAGCCTCGGACCTGCAGCCTACCTCATCCTAAAGGGGGAAGGAGTATGAATAAACAAAGAATGCACCTCTGAGGATTGGGTTCATTTTTCTTGTCTCTTGAGTGGCGGATCATGCGACACCTCCCGACCACAGCATTTGGGCGAGATATAGACATGCCTCTAAAAACTAATCTGCAAAGAGTAAAGGGAAAGTCATTATCACAGAGCTGCCATACACTTGGCCTGAGAGCCCCGGCTGCAAGACTGTTGCTCCATCCACCATCACCCTTGCTGTTCTCACTCAGCCCACAACCCAGCATCATGCCAGAACCCAGCCCAGCATGACCCTGGTTAAAACTCACATTCCGACTCCATGTCCTTTTACAACTGGTTCTGCGGTTTGTGGTGTTGACTACCATGTGCCAGACACTGGGGCCGTGTGCCCCACAGAATATACAGTGTGAATGCTTCAAACATAGGGCCTTTAGGGCCAGGATGGAGGTGAGAAGAGGAAGATGAGGTTGGAGACACAGAGGAAGAAGCATAGAGTTTGTAACCTCTGCTGGAGCAAGCCTAGGCAGAGCCCAGTTGAGGATGAACAGGTATCTGCCATAGCATTTTGGGCAGCCAGGATGGCACAGGCAAAGGCATGGAAGTGAGAGCAAGCCTAGTGCCCTCAGGGAGCAACGTAAGCTCCTGGGGACTGGTGACAAGGGTCTGGGGTAGGACGTGGCAGGTGATGGGCTGAAAAGGGCCAGGCTAAGTCACAGAGGCCTTCTCAGAGCATCCCACAAACGGTTGCCAGTATCTGAAAGGGGCCTAATATACAGTATTTCCAAAATGCTTTTAGCCATGGGGAAGTCTCTGGAAAGTAGTATACGAATGGAGGGCTTCAGAACATGTGGGAAAAGGCAGAAAAAAACAAATGGAGGGCTGAGAACAAGACTAGAGGCAGCCAGAACAGGGTGGAGGATTCTGTGTTGGTCCAAGGAAAAGGAATGAGGACCAAAATGAAAGCCTGGAGAGCAGGACAGCAAAGTTAGTTAAGAGGCAGAACTGGCTGATCCCAGACCACTTAAACATTCCTGGCCTTGCCTGGCACACAGTAAGTGGTGCATAGAAAGTGTTAGGTCCTTTATCTTTCAAGAAAGTTGCTCCACACACCACCCATCCTTCTAGTGCCACTGCGTTAGCATGGGACTAGATGCCTGCGGATGCTCCCTCCCTCCCCAGCTGTTCTGACCATTCAGACCTGTGGTATCCTGTCGGCCCTGCACACTGTCATATCAGTCCAGAGTGTCTGCCCAGGAGTGCCTCTGTGGAAGCAGGCTTGCTTCTGTCTGGACCCTATGTCCAGGTTTTCAGTGTCCTGGGCCTGCCTGGCACAGTGCTCTGTATGCAGCAGATGTTCAATGTGCACACACTTGATACCCCATCTACATACTAAAACTGGAGTTTCCTTCAAGGCTTATATTGAAGACGTGGGTCTCTGTTAAGTTTGCACACAATGGTAACTTGAATGACTTGGGTGTTGCTCTGACAGACACCTTCTGTTAACTGGTACTGCAATTTAGAAAGGCTGCACCAGGGTGTATTCTGATATTAAACTCAGTAATGAGCTCAGACTGGCTCCTGGAGGGAGAAGGTGCTCATCGGTGGCTGGTGGGGTTGAAGCCTCTACAGCCAGAGGACTGAGCAGAATGTTCTTTCAAATGCTACTGATAGATGTTTTTTACCACTGTAAATGACAACCCACATCATAATGATTTACCAGCTTAAAAAGAGCCCCAGGATGTGGATGGGACAGAACTGACCAGGCCATAATGGTTGCTGGGGCTGGATAGGTCCTCAAAGGTTTATTATACTACAGTATCTCTTTTGTATATGTGAAAATACTCCAAAATAAAAATATAACACAAAGCTTCTGTGAAGACAGTTAGGATTCTGCTCAAGGAAACTTGTTTCACAGTGAAAGGGGACCATAATGAAAGGAGGGATTTTTACAAAGGACATTGGTTTACTCCTTGAGTACAAAACGGCATGCAGCAAGTCAAAGTAAACTTGCCCCGTCACTTGGTTCCCATTTGACATTTTTCCAGGCCAATACAAAAATCTCAGAAACTCATTTTCCTACAGATCCCTTTTAGCACCTGCAGGACCTGTAGGAAGCCACACCTAAGAATGTGGGCTGACTAGGGGTGCATCCCATCTGAGGGTCAGTCCTTGGGGAACAACCAAGCATTGGTTAAAAAACTGGAAGTGAAGGTTGACAGAGGAGAAAGATATCTAAGTTATGACCATTACCTGTTAAAAATGTCATCATCTTCTCCTCCCCAGCCCCAATAATTATTAGGAAATCCATTGATGGTTAGAAACTGTTGTTTACTTAGAGCAGAGACACCTCCAAAATACTGAACATAAGGTAGGCTGGAGGAAAAACATACACACAGAAGGAGCAGTGGTTAGTTAAGTTCTGACATCCCCAAAATAAAGCTTGCTGAGAACATAAACACTTTTAAAGTTATTCTTTTTGCTTCTCTAGAGTTTTTATTTATTTTTTTTTTGAGACGTAGTCTTGCTCTGTTGCCAGGCTGGAGTGCAGGGGCGCGATCTAGGCTCACTGCAACTTCCGCCTCCCGGGTTCAAGCGATTCTTCTGCCTCAGCCTCCTGAGGAGCTGGGACTACAGGCGCCTGCCACCACGCCCAGCTAATTTTTAGTAGAGACAGGGTTTCACCATGTTGGTCAGGATGGTCTTGATCTCTTAACCTCGTGATCCACCGGCCTCGGCCTCCCAAAGTGCTGGGATTACAGTTGTAAGACACCAAACCGGATCTTTTTTTTTTTTTTTTTTTGAAGGAGTCTCGCTCTGTAGCCCAGGCTGGAGTACAATGGCGTGATCTCGGCTCACTGCAACCTCCGCCTCCCAGGTTTTCAAGTAATTCTCCTGTCTCAGCCTCCCAAGTAGCTGGGACTACAGGCGTGTGCCACCACACCTGGCTAATTTTTGTATTTTTAGTACAGATGGGGTTTCACCATATTGGTCAGGCTGGTCTCGAACTCCTGACCTCAGGTGATCCACCCACCTTAGCCTCCCAAAGTGCTGGGATCACAGGCAAGAGCCACCATGTCCAGCCTCTCTAAAGCTTTTTTGATGGTGGGTGGGGTGGGAGGGAGCAGTTACAAGGGTTTTGTCTGTTTTGCTTTTCTATCAGGGCTCAGATGACCTTAAATTAGACACAGATATCAAAAAGTATGATCTTCCTCTTTCTACAACACAGTGCTGTTTCTGTGGTTATGTAGAAAGCCAGTCAGTGACAAGAGCAGGCCTAGGCCCAGTTCTTCCTGAGTGGCTCAGGAATCTGCTTCTCCTGTGCTCTGTTCCCGCACATGAAGTCCTTATCCAGGAACTCCTGGAATCTGAGATTGTTTCAGAGCCTCTCTGTACCCACCCAGTCACAGCCCCCCTTCCACACCCATCCTATCGACCAATCCAGCTTTCATGCTTCCAAAGGCATACTGACTAGAACACTGGCCCTAACAGTTGAGGCAGTGTTTCTGAAAATTTGCTAAAATAAAACTTCTTTGAAACTTCAGACTTTATCCTGATTTAGCAAAATGTATAATGATGAACTTATGTTTTAACATATTTTCAAGTAGTAGAGCATCTGGGCTCTCATCCTTCCAAAACTTTTTGTATTTTAATATTTCAGTGGTTATGAATTGTGAACTCCTAAGGGATACAAAGTCAGCACTGATGAGAAATGTCAAGAATCAGGACGTGCCCCAAAGCCTTCCTGTGGGTTCTCTAAAGGCTGTGGTTTTGTGTGACTCTGAGTGCAGCTCCAAACCACACCCAGCTCTTTCTGGAATCCAAAAAGACCAAACCCATCACATAAATTAAGGAAAACTCTAACTCAGACTTTGAGGGGGAAGTCAGCCAAACCATACAGAACATATGAAAATAAAGATGCAATTATTATTTTCAAATATATTCAGGAATTCTGACTGTAAGGATCCTCAAGCAAAGGTCCCCAGGGGGTCTGCTTTAATGAACCTATTCGTAATTAGGTGTCATCACTTAGGTGCTGAGTCATCCACCTTTGGCACACCTCATACTACTGTCCACATTATTAATGTGAGGGTTTGAACCAAAGGTGGCCAGGCCAATAAGGTTTTCTGATAATCAGTGCTTTTACAGAAATGGATTCTTAGCTATTTCAGAGGGAAGTACATGCCAAGCTGACATGATTTGGTTTTGCTGTCTCTGCTGCTTTCTCTCCCCTATCTGCCCCAAGCCCAAACCTGCCAGGCTCCTTGTGAAACAAACATGGTGCTGTGGCAAAGAATTAGGGCATCACGGGCCCCTTCCTTGTTCACCACTGTGCTTCAAGGGATGAATCAAGAGGGGTCAGGGTATAAACCTGTGTGTTTCAAGAGAAGAAGATACACACACGGAGAGGGAGGAAGGGTGAAAGCGGGGACGGAAGGGTATAGAAGGATTTCTGAAGAGTCTAAAAGTAAGGTTACATTCAAATTTTCCTCCCTTTAAGACAAGAAGTTAGGATTTTTGATCTGGGAGAAGGACTTCATACATTCCTATATTCCCATCACAGCTCTCATGCTCCCAGCAAGGGAGGACAGGAAGAAATGATGAGAATAAAATGAGTCTGACAGAAAGCTGTTGCATCTCAGCAGGTGCAGTAGTTCATGCCTGTCATCCCAGCACTTTGGGAGGTCAAAGCAGGAGGATTGCTTGAGCCCCCAGGAGTTCAAGACCAGCCTGGGTAACATAGTGAGACATCTCTAAAAAAAAAAATTTTTTTTTTTTTAAATCAGCCAGGGGTGCTGGCCCACACCTGTGGTCCCAGCTACTAGGAAAGCCGAGGTGAGAGGATCACTTGAGCCAGGGAGTTTAAGGCTATAGTGAGCCATGATCACGCCACTGCACTCCAGGCTGGGTGACAAGCAAGACTCTGTCTCAAAAAAAATAAAAGAAAAAGAAAAAAAGTTGTATCTAAAATAAAGGGTCTGCTGTCTACATGAGCCAACCACACTGTACTAGTCAGCCTAAACCAGGGGTACCCAACATAGAGGGTACCTGCAGCACAGCTCCTGGATCTTCAGATTCACTTAAAGCAAGGAAGGAAAGGGTTTTGTTATTCAACTGATAGGTTTTTTTTTTTCTTTCTCTGAGACAGAGTCTTGCTCTGTTGCCCAAGTTGAAGTTCAATGGCGCGATCTCAACTCACTGCAACCTCTGCCTCCCGGGTTCAAGCAATTCTCCTGCCTCAGCTTCCCGAGTAGCTGGGATTACAGGCACCTGCCACCACACCTGGCTAATTTTTGTATTTTTAGTAGAGACAGGGTTTCACCATGCTGGTCAGGCTGGTCTCGAACTCCTGACCTCAGGTGATCTGCCCGCCTCGGCCTCCCAAAGTGCTGCGATTACAGGCACGAGCCACTGCACCTGGCCACTGACAGGTAATTTAAAACACTTTTATGTTAATATAAACACGGAATTAGGAAACAATATACAAGTTTATTTATATATTTACTTTTAAGACAAAACAATGGACTATAAGGCCATTTTCCACCAATGACAATATGCTTTGGATAATACGCTAGTCGGGCATCTGGGCTGGCCACTTCACTAGGGGCATTTTGGTGGAAAAATTTGGGCTTTGTATTTAAGCAGAAGTTTGTGCCCTGCTGGAAAACAGAATCACATTCCTTCTTATAGGGCCAAGGGCGGGAGCAGTGGTTCACACCTGTAATCCCAATGCTTTGGAAGGCTGAGGTGAGAGGATCACTTGAGCCCAAGAGTTCAAGCCCAGCTTGGGCAACATAGCCAGACCTCATCTCCACTAAAAATAAAAAATTAGCTGGACATGCTGGCTCATGCCTGTAGTCCCAACTACTCAGGAGGCTGAGGCTGCAGGATGGATTGAGCCCAGGCAGTCAAGGCTGCAGTGAGCCATGATTGTGTCACTGCACTCCAGCCTGGGTGACAGAGCAAGACCCTGTCTCAAAAACAAAACAAAACAGGCCAAGGAACATCTGCTGAGGTATACAAGCTAAATAATTCAGTGGGGGAAAACTATTCCAATTTACTTTCCAAAACTTGTGGGGCAAGAGAAAGAAAAAAGCAAGAAAATACAGTATCATTTGGAGCTTAAAGATGAGAGCCCCTCCCAAATGCTAAAAACTGTTCTTAGGCCAGGCATGGTGCCACATGCCTATAATCCAGCACTTCGAGAGGCCAAGGCAGATGGATTGCTTGAGCTCAGGAGTTCGAGACCAGACTGGGCAATACAGCAAAACCCCATCTCTACAAAATATACAAAAATTAGCTGCGCATGGTGGCAAGTGTTTGTAGTCCCAGCTACTCAGGAGGCTGAGGTGACAGGATGGCATGAACCCGGGAGGCAGAGGTTGCGGTGAGCCAAGATCACGGCACTGCACTCCAGCCTGGGTGACAGAGCCAGACCCTGTCTCAAAAAACAAACAAAAAAAAAAAAGGGGGGAAAATTTGTTTTTGTCTGGATGTGCAGAGACTACAGGCATTTCTGGTCTCTTCTTTCCATCTCAACTAATACAAAGCACCCATTTCTCAGAGGAGGCATTCTGCTCCAGAGCTTAAAGAGGCACTCTTGAGCTGCCAGGACTGCATTTCCTAGTCAACACATGAGAGAGACATGTTTACCACAGATTCTGACTGAGTATCTCTTACCTGAATCCAAACTTATCCATTGCAACGGAAATGTGCCGTGGCTGTGAAAAACACCTGTACGCATTATGGTCATTCATTGGAATGAGGTCCACGTCACTAAACACAAAGCAGGTGTAGTCATAGTCCTTCAAGGCTTCTTGAAAGCCAACATTGAGGAGCTTAGCACGATTGAATATAGTGTCTCCCGCCTGGTGCAGAAACAAAAACAGTGATATCAAATGCCTTAAAGCCTTTGGGCCAAACACTCACAGGGACTGGTGACTTGTCCACTACACATGGTCACTAGGAAACTCTTGGGCCTCACTTTTCTGCCGTCACTCTACAATCAACACAGAGTACCAAAACCTCTGAGTCAGCAATTCCCCTCTAGAAATATATCCTGCAGAAGGACTTGCATGTGTGTGAATGACTATGAACAACATTGTCACTGTGGAATGTTCATCATAACAAAAGACTGCAAAAAACAGAATAATCAGTAGGGAACTGGTTCAATAAATCATAGTACATCCATACAATGGAATGGAACTGTTAAAAAGAGGCAGCTCTAAAAGGAAAGGTGAAAAAGGCATTTAAACACATACATCATTTATTTATACACACTATAAATAAACTCCAGGAAAGGTATCCAGGAAACTGGTGACATTAGTTGGGTACCTATGGGACTTTTCACTTCTACCTTCCTTATATGGTTGACTGAGGTTTGATGACCACATTGTGTGCCTTCCATCTACCTGTCAAGCACAAACCTAGGCACCTGAGAAATACAGCAAACCCAACTCAACCTCTGCCCTCACAGTGCTCACCATGGAGGGCAGAAGGCCATGCCATACACACCAGGACAGAAGCAAGGTGTGCAAGACAGAAGAGGGACACCTGCTTCAGGGTGCCAACCACGAGGTCCCCAGGCACCAAGTGTGCTGGTGCAAAGGGAATGCATATTTTTATTTTTATTTTTTATTTTTGAGATGGAGTCTTGCTTCATCACTGAGGCTGGAGTATAATGGTATGATCTTGGCTCACTGCAACCTCTGCCTCCAGGATTCAAGCGATTCTCCTGCCTTAGCCTCGCGAGTAGCTGGGATTACAGGCATGTGCCACCATGCCCGGCTTTTTTTTTTTTTTTTTTTTAATTTTCAGTAGAGATGGGTTTCACGTTGGCCAGGCTGGTTTCAAATTCCTGACCTCAAGTGATCCGCCTGCCTTGGCCTCCCAAAGTGCTAGGATTACATGTATGTTTTATTTGTTTTCTTTCAGTAAGAATGTAAGCTCAATGAAGGTTAGGATGTTTTGTTTTTTTTATTCACCCAGTTCCTTGAAGACTGCTTCTCACACAATAAGAGCTCAACAAATAGTTGCTGGTTGGCTGAATGAATGAATGAATGAATGGGGTTCAACATACAATGGCAGATGGTGATCCCTTCTGGGAAGCTCGACCAAAGAGCCCTGTGAGGGGTCACCACAGGGATCACATTGTGGGGTAGAGTTGGGAATCTGGTCTTATCAATTCCCATGGCCCCAGGTTAGTAAGGACAAACCTAGCACTGACATTGCCACGCCTCACTCTCAGCAGTTCACAAAGCCTCCTGCACACATGCTGTTATCCTAACCAGAATCTTCACAACACCAACATGAGGAAACGAACTAAGGCCCAATACTTTGGAATCCTCATTCAATGCTCTTTCCCATCTCTCTTGGGATCAACATAGTCAGAGCCCTCTACTTTGGGGAAAAAGTGTGTCATAGGGGCTTGCGACTGGTACACAATCTCAAAAGTGGGATGCTCAAAGTCTTCTCTCCATGCCCTCAAAAGATGACCTGGGCTGGGCATGGTGGCTCACACTTGTAATCCTAACACTTGGGAGGCCAAGGTGGGCAGATCACTTGAGTCTAGGAGCTCGAGACCAGCCTGAGCAACATGGTGAGACTCTGCCTCTACAAAAAATTACAAAAATTTGCCAGGCATGGTGGTCCCTAGTACTCTGGAGGCTGAGGTAGGAGGCTCAACTGATCCCAGGGAGGTTGAGGTTGCAGTGAGCCATGACGGCACCACTGCACTCCAGCCTGGGCGGCAGAGTGAGACCCCCATCTCAAAAAAATAAATAAATAAATAAATAAAACCAAGACCTGGAAACTGGCACTCCAAAAGGCTGCCTGTGTGCGTACAGAATGCACAGATGTGCCACAGCCACCCAGACTCAGGTGGGGAACTTGGGGAAGCAAACCACTTAGAGAAAGAGAGGCACCAGAAAGAGAATCAAGGAAACATTTTACACACAAGAGCTCCTTTTTTAAAGCCTCTGACAAAGTTTTCTAACCCCGCGTGGTGAGTGAAGGAGCCCAAAGGCACACTGTGTTTTTTGGCTGTCCCACAGGCTGAGTTGATTTGGAATTCTGCGTTCAGCTAATTCTGTGTAAGTCATGGGTTCAAAGAAATTCAAAGTTTAGGCTGGGCGTGGTGGCTCACACCTGTAATCCCAGCATTAGGGAGGCTGAGGCGGGCAGATCACTTGAGGTCAGGAGTTCGAGACCAGCCTGGCCAACATGGTGAAACCCCATCTCTACTAAAAACACAAAAAATTGCCGGGCACAGTGGCTCACGTATGTAATCCTAGCACTTTGGAAGGCCAAGGCGGTGGATCACCTCAGGTCAGGAGTTTGAGACCAGCCTGGCCAACATGGCGAAAGCCCGTCTCTACTAAAAATACAAAAATTAGCTGGGTGTGGTGGCGGGCGCCTGGATTCCTAGCTACTCAGGAGGCTGAGGCAGGAGAATCACTTGAAGCCGGGAGGTGGAGGTTGCAGTGAGCCAAGATTGCGCCACTGCACTCCAGCCTGGGCAACAGAGCGAGACACTGTCTCAAAAAAAAAAAAAAAAAAAAAAAAGTTCAAAGTTTAGAAATTGCATATGAAAATTATGAAGTTGTTGGAATTATTATAATATACTGTGAATATTCACTGGTGGGGATACCATACACAAGGCATGGATAAGTGTTTCAAATGGCATTTCATTTAATCATCTTGACAATCTTGTAACAACCCTCACCCCAGCCCAGACTTACACTGTCAAACACAATTCAGCCCCGTTGAGCACTTTCCAACAAGCAAAGGGAGGTATACCAACAGAGCCTTTCTACATCTATGCACTAGACCCCCAGGGCTGCCCAGCCCAGGACAATGCTCCCTTCTCTTGGTACACTCCCCAACAACTGCAGCAGAGGGCTCTTTGAGGCCATGTCTCTACCATAGGACTGGGCCTACTGGCCTTGGCTGTTTGATCTAAGCAGAGGCCTAACTGAGACTGAACTAAGCATTTTTCCTCTCCCAGGAATTGGAATTTTGGAACCACGAATGAGCACCTCTGCAGCCAAGGCCCATGAGCAATGGCACCCTGGAGGAGAAGCCCAAGAAGCAGACCTGGTTCCAGCCCCTTTCACCGCCCGGGGTGCCACGGCCCTTTCAACGTGGTGAGATGCCCCAGTGTCCGGCCCAGACTTAAAATTGGTCAGGCAGTTTTCCAAAATAACCTGAACTATATATCCCTCCCTTTCTCCCTCATCCCAGCCTGGCCTCATCTGTGGGATGCAGTGAGACGGAAGGGCATGGTGCACTTTAGCAGGTGCTATCATCTATCAGGGGCCGTGGGTACACCAGGCCAGCAGAACAGTGGAGGAGGAAAGTGTCCTCCCCGGAATGACAGAAAAGTCAAGCATTTTCTAGGCTGCTTTGGGTGAAATGCTGTAACACTGGGGCACACACCTTCTTTGATAAGAAAGACAGGCCCTGGCAAGCTCACCAAGCCCCACCACTCACAAGAGGCGGGAAGACGCCCAGCTTCACTCCTGCCCTCCTCACTGAGCACACTCATCGGTACCTCTGCCCCTCCATTTGCTCAAGTAAACATTGATCAAGCACCAAATACACCACAGTGACAGACACATGCATTTTTAATCCCAGGAATGCTGGCTTCTTTATTTATTAGCTATGTGACTTGGGGTACATCACACCTCCAGGCCTCAGTTCCCTCTTTTGTGTTATGGGGAGAGCATGTGCATTGTATTAAATGAGACAACATTGTCTACCAACATAAGATTAGGTCCACCCTTTAAAAGCTGGGTTTTTCAGAATTAAGAAGACCCAGCCCGGGGAGGCTGAGGTTGCAGTGAGCCATGACAGCACCACCGCACTCCAACCTGGGTGACAGAGACCCCATCTCAAAAATGGGGCCCCACTGCCTGACAACAAATGTTGGCTACTATCATTACAGGAAGAGGCTTTCCCATCCATCTTGAACAGTCAGACCATTCCAAATGTCTCTTAGATATCCTACCTGGAGACTCTGCCTTCTGTAGTGTTTGCTTCAAAATTCCTCCCAAATCCTGCTTCTCTGATGAATGGGAAATTACTAAAAACATTTAAGGCTCAAGGGAATTAGCCTGTGGCTTACATGATTAGAGTTTCTCACAGCAGAAGAGAGTCAGGGGGACCTCTGGAGGCCTGTGAAATGCGTAGGAAGTCACGCTTGGTGAAGAGAAGCCAGCATGCTGGGTGCAGGTGTCCCTTTCAAAGACGCAGCTTTTAAAGGGTGGGCCTAATCTTATGTTGGTAGACAAGAGTTACAGTTATCCCTTCCTTCTAGGTCAACTGGCTGCTTTTAGAAGGAGAAGACAGGCCCCCAAAAGAAAGGCCAGAAAACATATAAAATCCCCAAATGATTGAGCAGAGACTGCCACAAGATGGGGACTGGAGACAGCAGACAGAATCGACCAGACATAGACTCTGGAGGCGGTGCTGGGAGAGAAGGCATCTGTAGGAGCAGAGAAAAGCATGCATGGTGAGAGCATTTGTAAAGGCGGTAAGGAAAAGAGAACAGCCAAGGAACTACAAGAAATTCCGAATGAGTGAAGCCAGAATGAAACATGAAGGCAGCGATGAGCCAAATCACCGAGGCTGGGGAGAAGGGTTAGGTGCTTGTTAAGATACTTAAGCTTTATCTTTATTTAGGCCACAGGGAGCCTTAAACCATGGTTTATATGTCAAGGAGGGATTTGTGCCCCAATCCAACTGAAGGCAAGGAGACCAGTTAGGAAGCTGTTGTATGATTCCTATGAGGCAACAACCGTGGGTAAGCAGACAGTGCCTCCCCCAAGGGCCAAAGGCAGGGGCTCCACTTCCACTTCCATGCCCCACCTGCTCCCTGTGTATGTGCACTACACTTGCAAGCAGCCTTTGTAGGGGCGGGGCGAGAGGTTCAGGACAGGTGCTAGAATCTGGTCTAATCCCCAAGAAAATCCTAACTGTGGTTAAGGAAGGCAAGTGTGGCCTTCCCCTGATTGCAACAGGGGACAGATGACCAACTACAGAAAGCCAAGGGCCACTCTTGTCCAAGTTCCAACAGCTTCTGGAAGAACTGTTCTGTCCAATCACCCTGCCTTCCCTGGATGTCAGGTCCATGTGTGTATATCAGCAGACACATCCCTTATCCATAATGGCTTAGGGACCAACTGTGCCCAGCCTCTCCTGCACCAAAAGACACAGCAGCAACATGGCTGGAACCATTAACCCAAAGCCAAGACTCGCAATGAGTCAGAACTTCTACGTGATAAGAGAGACACTGTTGCTCCTATACACATGCCCTGGCTCATCACAGAGCCACACCCCTCCCCACCATGCAAGAACGCAGCACTAAGCTCTCAACAGGACAGATCCGGGGGCAGGTCTGCAGCCAGTGGCAATGTTTGCTGAAACACCCTCTGTATGCTTTTCTGTGCCCACTGAGACAGTAAGAGGAAGGAACTAGGCCGAGTGGGTTGCATGAAACAGTAACAGATCAGCGGCAGCAGAAGCTCTGACGGGGCATTCCTATAGGCCTAAGTGTGGATCCTGGAACAGTGGACAGGCTGGGAGATGATCCCCAGAGAATTACTGGAAACAGCCTGGGATTATACAAATGCTGAGTTTGTGGAGGGCTAATAATATCTACTCAGCCATGAGTTCACAGCAGTTGGGCTCTAGTTTTGCTTTTGTTGTTGTTGTTTTTTTGCAGGGGAGACAGGGTCTCGCCATGTTGCCCAGGCTGGCCTTGAGCTCCTGGACTCCAGCAATCTTCTCACCTCAGCCTCTTGAGAAGCTGGGACTGTTAGCACATGCCACCACACCCAGCTGGGCTCTAGTTGTTAAACATTGTTAACTATTGTTAACCATAGTTAACCATTGTTAACATTGTTAACTATTGTTAACCATAGCAATATGGTAGCTCAGAGCTCTCAACAAAACTTGGATCTGAGATTTAAACTCTTCACCCCAGTGAGTGAGAGAGATGGGCCTTCAAGGGTTAGGGACCAGGCTATGGGAGTGGTTCTTGGTCAACCAAAGACACCACTCTCAAGAGTGAGCATACCCTTGACCCCTGCCACACAGGAACACAGACTGGACTGAGGCTATAAAGTTGCTTTCAGAGAGAACTGAGCTCCTTGAAGAGCCCAACAGGGATTCTGGGTGAAGTGAGCACAGAAGAGACAGTTTTTGTTTGTTTGTTTTTTTGTTTTGTTTGTTTGTTTTTTTAAAATGGAGTCTCACTCTGTCGCCCAGGCTGGAGTGCAGTGGCGCGATCTCGGCTCACTGCAAGCTCCGCCTCCCGGGTTCATATCATTCTCCTGCCTCAGCCTCCCGAGTAGCTGGGACTTTTCAAGTGCCCGCCACCACGCCCGGCTAATTTTTTGTATTTTTAGTAGAGACGGGGTTTCACCATGTTAGCCAGGATGGTCTCGATCTCCTGACCTAGTGATCCGCCCACCTCGGCCTCCCAAAGTACTGGGATTACAGGTGTGAGCCACCACGCCCAGCCAGAGGAGACAATTTTAAACCCAGCTCCAAGGAGCCAGCGCAGGATGCCTGCCTCTCCCAGGGCCCGACACACTGAAAAGTGGAGACGTGGCTTTCCGCAGATATATCAAGACAGTGGTGCTAAGCATGTTCAGGATGTTTAAGATACAAGTTGGAGAAAAATACTTAAGAAAAGCTTCTCTTTCAGAAAGCAATTTGGCCATCTGTATTAAGAACTATAAAAATGTGTAAACCATATCTGAACCCATAATCCCACATCTGAAAATCTAGCCTGGGAAAATGATCCTAAATGTGGAACAAACCAACACAGAATAAACTTCAGACTCCAAGATGTTCATTATGGTATTACTTACACTCACGGAAAATTGGACATTACCTAAGGGACTTCTAAGAGAGAAAAGACAAGTTAATTATGATGGAATTCTACGATCAACTACTATGAAGGTATGGAAAGTGATGATGATGAAGACTATGAAATAACATGGGAAGATGCTGATGATAAAGAATTTAAGGAAAAAGCAGGATACAAAAGTTTATACACACACAGCATGAGCTCAACTGTGGTTTAATTTAAAAGAAGTTAAACTCTCAGACCCTGTATGACGGGCTGGCTTCCAGCAACCTCAGCATTTCCGAGAGAGCCCACAGAGGCCCTGGTCTTGCCTAGGAGACCCCAGGGCCTGAGGATGGCACACTCATGGGATTATTTACATAGCCTCCCCCTGACCAGCAGGGCCCTGGCTCTGGGTTGATTTGAGGACATGTGAACATTACCAGGGTGGTGGTGGCAGCGGTGGTGGCAGCAGCAGTGGCAGCGGTAGTTAGGTCGGCATTCCTCTCTCTCTCTCTCTCTCTAGGAGGCGGAAAGTACAGAAGAGAAGGTAGGTGGAGAATAAGAAGCAGATCAGAGAGGAACTCCTCCTTCCACTTGCTTTGCTACAAACAGGATTAACAAGTAAAGGTAAAAGGCCCCTGCTAGAAGGAAAACAAAAAAGAAGAAAAAGAGAAAAGGGTGGATGCAAGGGAGAGAGGTGAGGAAAAGAGAGGCAAATGTCAAAGCTGCAAGGGAAAAGGGGCCCATTCTGATGACCACTGTTCCAATGCAAAAACAAATTCCTAATAAGCTGTCATTCCTTGTCACAGAGTCATGGGTGAGCAGAAAAAATGGCATTTCCCAGAACAATGTCCATGGAAGCAATTCACCAGCAAATTGAGTCCCCAGAGAACAGAGACACACATAGACTAGGTGGGGCACACAGCAAAGGGGCAACACTCAAACAGTGATGGTGCAGAGACACTCCCTGGCCTTCCCACTCCCATTCCCCACCCCGGCAAGCTCCAAAGGGTCCAAGTGCCCGAAGGAAGGGGAGGCTACAGGACAGGACCAGCCCTACCCCACTCCTCCCAAGCTCCGTTCCCACACACATCAATCTGTGCACTGACAGCTGAGGTAGAAAATGGAAGGCCGGGATGGGGGGATGGTAGAGATGATCAAGATAGAAACCAAACCAATGAGGCCATAAGCCCAGGCAGCTGTCCTCACTAATGGGATAGACCCAGGAGTCTGCTTCTCCCCAGTTGATCTTGACCTTGTGTAGGAACCAGCTGCTTGGACCAGTGACAGAGACAACTGCTGAGGTAGGGTGACAGATACTCTTGCTCACTGAGGGTACAAAGGACTGTCTCCAAATCCATCCTCAACCAGCCTGGAACTATCACCCCATCATCCTAAAACAGTGCACAGAAGAAAAGGAAACAGTAGAAAACTTCAAAGCCAGACAGAGTCCTCAGGGCAGCCCTCCCTCCATTTCTCCACAGCCTTTCAGGCAGGCTCCAGCTCTGCTTCCTGGCCATCGTGTGCTTACCTGTGGAGCCTTCCCTCTGCAGGAACAATCAGAAGACCATTTGCCTTACTCTGGGGGATGGGGGGAGGTGGGAGGTTCAAAATTCAAAGTGAGACCATAAAGGTGCTGAGTCCAAAGGACCCTAAAGGAGTTTTGTGACCATTAACAATCACAAGGCTAAGGTATTAATAGGTTTTCTGCATTTTTCCTGATAAGGGAGGTCACCCCAAGGACTGTCACAGGCAGCCTGTGCTCTGGTCAGCATTGAGCTGGAAGCTTCGGGGAGAGGCCCAAGGGAGGGATCCTGCAAGTTCCCAAGGGTCAGGACCTGGCCCCACTGGGAACGGAGGCTTCACTTCCAAGAGGCACAGATTTAGGCAGAAGACCAGGAGTAGGGAGTCCTGAGACTAGGGATAAACAAAGGGGCAGGAATCCTGGAGAGAAGCCCCGTGCTCCACTCACTGACTGCGTCTGTACTGACTATGTACCAGCTGTGTGGTCAGAGAGAAAGAAGGGAGGCAGACATGAGGGACTCAGAGTCCGGGGGCTGGGGTGAGGCTGGAACTCAGATAATCATCCCTTTCCAGAAAGTTCTGAGCAGCCTGGGAGCAGCAGGGAAGGAGAAGTCAGCTCTATTCCAGGGGCTCCACAGAACTAATGAGGTTGGGGAGGGAAGCTTAAAAGATAGCCAGAGACACACTAGGAACACAGGGGACAGCATAAGCAAAGGCACACAGAGGGGAGAACAGAGGTGTCTGGGTGGAGATGGGGAGTCCAGTGAAGTGGAGAGGAGGAGGAAGTGGCTGGAGGTAGGTCAGGGTCTCGGATGCTAAGCTTGGGCCTTCCGACCATTTAGACCGTTGCCTGTAGGCAGTCGTGAAATGCTAACAGGTTTAAAAGAGGAAGTAACATGGTCAGAACCAGAAAAATCCTGGGCAGCTGAGGGAGAGGAACAGAGGTGCCAGAAGATATGCAATCGGAATTGGAGAGACCAGTTCTGTGTACTGGCTGTGGGGCAAAGGGCTGCCATGGTTGTGACAAACCCACCTGGCCAGCTGTGCCTGCATTCCTTACTCATTTTGTAATTTTTATGATGGGCAATCCCACAAACATTCTGCATTCCTTAATTTAGGGCTAGTGCTACCAGGTGGTGACCTGCCCTCCCTTCACCTTGAGTGAAGTCTCGTTTCCGGGTTTGAGTATTAGGAAATGCAGCATGCATCCCTGTTTGCTATGATGTCTTCTCCTTCTGTTGCTTCTTTTCTTGCTGCCGTTGAAGTTGGAATGCTATATCTTGAAATCCACGTCTCAGAGTACAAGGAGTCAAATAGTATTCTCCCATGCTGGTGAGCTAAGGTCAGGGGTGGGAGGAGAGACCTTAAGGAAAAAGAGCAACTCTTGTTCTTCTATATCTCAACCAGGAAAGCCTCTCCCGGCTCATTCCTTCAATATCCTTATTTTAAGATATAAGTTAGTACAATAATTACAGAGGCATAAGCCAAATGGGAGTGGTTAACAGCTTACTATAGACAGAGTATGAGTCATAACAACTTGTGAAAGTTCACTCCTGTGTGTAAAGCTTGATACGTGGCCCTATTTTGAAGAGGCTTATAGGCCCGGGATGGCCTCTGAGATTCTGCCACCTGGCTCACTCCACTATCCATTACCCTCTGACTCCAAGGAGTTCAAACCAATAGGAGGAAGGGTCCTGATGCGGGCCCTGAGTGGGGGTGCAGCAGGAGGCGGTGGGAGCCATGAAGAATTCACCACCACAGAAGCAGGCAGAGGAAGCAGGCAGAGGAAACAGGCAGGATGAATGGAGAGTGGAGAGGCAGGAGTGGACCCTCCTAGTAACGGCTGGTATTTACTGAAGGTTTACCATGAGAAGGATGCCTCATAACCCTCCCCACCAAGGAGGAAACTGAGGCCTGCAGAGCTTAAGTAACCTGCCTGAGGTCACTGACTGTAAAGTGGCAGTGCCAGGACTGAACCCAGGCAGTCTGAGCACACAGCACACTCTCAGCCCTGGATACCAGACTGTGAGCAACACTGGGGGCACCCTGGCCATGAGGAGTGTCACTGATGCCCTGAGAAGGCACTAAACCTGGAGTCAGACGCTGGGGTTTGAGCCGCAGCCCTACTGTTGTCTATGTGACTTTCGGAGCCTGTCCCTCTCTGAGCCTGTTTCCTCACCTGTGACATGGAGCAGAAGTTTCTACATTGTCTGGCCTCAGGGGTCTAGGCAAATCCTAGCAGTGACTGAATGGGAAGCCAAGGAAGTGGAAATGGGACATGGCCCCTACTTCAAGTAGAATGAAACCCTTGTGACCTGCTGTAAGCGGAAGGTTGTGTAGCATTTCAATGGGGCAGAAAGAAATCTGATACTGAAAAGCCTGTTTGGGAACCCTTGGACTAAATGTCTCAGAAGCCACTCCATTTTGAGCATTACTTCTGTCTAATCTTAAATGGTATGTGTGTGTGTGTACATGTGTGTGCATGTGTATGTGTGTGTGGGAATGAAAAGTCAAAATGACAGCAGGGTGTCTGGGCCAGGGATAAGCTGAGAGGCTATAAAGAGGGCTAACAGCCCATAAGGTTTATTTGCTCAACAAACAGTGCAGAAAGGTCAAAACCAGGTGCTACAAAATCCCTTTCTTCTTCTAGAATATAACCATAAAACAGATAACACAGGCAGTTCCTAATTTGTAGACAGGATGTGCTCCAAATGTTTCTCCTTCCACCTCTTTTTTTTCAGGGTTCAGGTTTCCCATTACCATTTTATTATTTATTAGGTAATATTCTTTACTGGAAAGGTATGGCAGAGTTTAAGCATTTCTCAACTTAGTTATCTGGACTCTGACCATATTTTCCCAAAATGATCAATTAGGGTGAGATTGGAGCAGATGATAAGAGAGTAGCTGGGGAAGTGGGAGAAAAAGCAGAAAAGATTCTCCTAAGGTGGAAAGTTAACCCTTGGAGAAGGAAAGGATGAAGAGAAAAAAAAGTATGAGGAAAAGCAAAGAAAAAAAAAAGATGATATTGACAAGATAAGAAAAAAGGAGGTATATATGTTTGAAAAACCAAAACTAAAATATTCCTGATGCTAAGTTGTGAAGTGGGAAGAGGAGGGAGGGAGGGAGGACGGGCAGTTCCTAGTGTTCCAGGGAAAGCAGGGAGGCAGCTGGGAGGAGATGCTAA
Organism: Homo sapiens; assembly: GCF_000001405.40. Classification (NCBI taxonomy): domain Eukaryota; kingdom Metazoa; phylum Chordata; class Mammalia; order Primates; family Hominidae; genus Homo; species Homo sapiens. The sequence continues at coordinate 33,132,304 of NC_000009.12, forward strand.
CTTAGGCCCGCTTTCCCCAAAGTGTGACTCACAAAACACTCATCACTTGAGACGGTTCTTGGAAAAGTTGTCTCGTCAGGCAAGCTCAGGAAACACTTCTGGGGTTACAGTGTACACCGGGGTACCAAAGGCTCTGCGGGAATGAGACCTGCTTTACATGGTTCAACCCAACATTCCTCAAGCGTATTTCGCTCCATTTGGGGAAGCACACTTTTGGAGAAGCACTCTCTTAGGTGGTGCCCAGTGTTAGCCAGCACAGCTGTGCCACCGGTCTGAGCTGGCTTGGTTAGTTGTTCCATCTACTCGGATTGAGGTGGGCAGGAGCATGTAGCTGGCAGAGGACATTCAGAAATCTACTGTGTTGAGCCTGGGGAGTATGTAAATTGTATCATAGGAATTTAAGCTGATGGCTAGATTTTACTGGTCCAATATTTGACTTCAAAACAGGGAAGTCTCACATTCACCTAAACTGCAACATATCTAGACGTAGCATCCCACCCTCCAGTCTTCCTTGAAAACAGCCACCTCAGTTCAAAAATTCAGCATCATCGCTAACTCTTTTATCCTCTTTACCCAAGTATATATTTTATTTATTTATTTATTTATTTTATTTTTTTGAGACAGAGTCTCACTCTGTTGCCCAGGCTGGAGTGCAGTGGCATGATCTCGGCTCACTGCAACCTCTGCCTCCTGGGTTCAAGAGATTCTCCTGCCTCAGCCTCCCGAGTAGCTGGGATTACAGCCGCCCACCACTATGTCCAGCTAATTTTTGTATTTTTAGTAGAGACGGGGTTTCGCCATGTTGGCCAGGCTGGTCTTGAACTCCTGACTTCAAGTGATCCGCCTGCCTTGGCCTCCCAAAGTGCTGGGATTACAGGCATGAGCCACTGCGCCTAGGCCCAAATATATATTTTAACCTACCTATATGGCACCCAGACCACAGCTGTCTGTCTTCTACTCAGGCAGATTTGTGGGATGCTATCAGATGCCCTGCTGAATAAGATATGACAGCATTGTATCCACAGTACATCCCTCATCTACTGGCATAGCAACTGTCAAGAGAGAAACGAGATGCAGCTGGCACGGCTTATTAGTCATCCCTGCTGGCTCCTGGTGATGGTGGCCGCCTCTTCCAGGTGCTCGCTGCCACTGCTTTAATAACAGGCTCCTGAATCTTGCCGTCATTGGTATGTGCTAACTGGCATCAGACAAATGTTTCTCAATCACAGAGCTTTTCTTAAATGAATATGTGTTGGGTTAAAGTGACCCGCATTTTGCAGGACATTTACCTGTTCTCTCTTGCATTCTCCAATATTCTTCCAAGGTGACCCACAACTGCGTGGCTGTCTTGCTTGCAGGTGTTCATAGGGCCCTGGTCTGTACCTCACTTGGCCGAAGAATTCAAACAGCCTCAAGGGGTTTGCCCACCACCTGCTCTCCTGCTTCAGTTTCCTTGTAACAGGGCTTGTTCTGCTCTCTCCTGCCTCACAGGCTTAACTCTGACACCTGGTCCCAGAGCTTCTGGTGCTTTCCTACCCCAGTGGGCATCTCAATTTCCAGGAACATGCAAGGCTCCTTTCTGCCTTAAGGTCCCTGCTCACTGGCCCCAGCTGAGAAGCCCATCTCCCTGCAGACTTTAGAACCTAGTTTATATCCTGGTTCTTCCAAGCCATTGCTCTCTCTCCTTCCTCTGAGCTTCCAAAGCATTTGGCAGCCACCATCCAATCACAGGATATTTGGGTCTGTTAACAAATTGTTCCCTGGGAAGGTCCCACTTGCCAGAAGTGGGTTGGAGGCTTCGGGACAGGGCAGGACTGAGACCTTACACTTCTTCAGAATCTCCCTGCAGCAAGTGATGCAGCACAATGCCACAGCAGTCCTCGAGTGCTTCCCCTGGGGTCATAGGGAAGGTGCACAGAGTTCCTTGACCTTGATGGAAGCCGTAAACTGCCAACAATCCTCCTACCTAAAGCAGAGTTTATCTCGAAATGAAATGGACATTGGGCCTTGTAGAAATGGGCGTACTCAGACTCTTCAAATGAATTTCAATGAAACTGGGTGCTTAGATAAGTTAGATGTGTCATTGCACCTAGGAGGTTATAGTCTAAAAACATGAATTTAAGTGTTAGGGGTAATCTTGAAATATCAAAGTTATACTCTTGGGAAAATAATGCTCCTCAAATAAACTGAAAAATTTATTTCAATAAAGATGCCTCTTAGATCAATCTGATTCTCCATGCCATGGTGATGAAAGTTGACCTATCCTTAGCATTACTTTCCTAAGCAGGGCTAAAGCCCAACACATATGGATCAGACGAGCAGTGAGAAACTTTTTCTCAGACTCGGCCCAGTCCACATAACTCTCAGATGGCCCACGAATCAGACTTCTCCAGATATTTCACCAGGGGCTGGCATGTAGGCATGTGACCTGAACTAAGGGCACTGTCTCCAGGTGCCCCAGGAGACACGCTCTGACTGACTGGATAAACTTTGAAGTTACCTAAAAGTCTGACATCTAAATGGTGGTTTTATTTTTAAAAGGAAAATACACAGCTACACAAAGCCAGGGAATAATCAGTGTGTACTTTGGAATAATTAGGGTTGTCTTTTTTCCCAATCTTGCTGGAAGGCTACTTCCAGAAAACAAAAACAGAACAACGAAAACACTCCAGCATTTCCCTTGGCTATAGAGTTGACAGCAATAGGCAAGCACACTGTTTGGCGTTTACCTCATCTGCACTGGTGGTGGCTGGGGGGCTGGTTCCTCGCTGTAAGTGCCAGGTGTCTGTGAAATCACTCCCCTTCCCCTGCCCTCATTACACACACATCTGATACACATCTGCATGCACACACACCCTCTCTCATTCCACCTTCCCAGGCCTCACCTGGTTGATAACATAGATGCCATAGTCCAGCTGCTGGCGCTGCAGGACTGGGTGCAAATAATATAGCCAGTACTTGAGGTGCTCCTGCCGGTTGCGGAATGGAATGATGATGGCCACCTTGTGAGGAGAGACGCAGTCCCTGGGGGCATAGCGGCCGCCCATCTTCACATTTGGGTTCTGCTTTGCCACGAGCTCCAGGTCCACAGGCATGTTAAACTCAATCAGCATGGGGCCCACTAGAGAGGTGGAGGGAGGGAGAAGTTAGCAGGCCACAGGACTCGCCACCGCTCCACAGGCTGCATCAGATGGCCAGGCTGCAGCTGCAGCTGCAGAGGAAATGTCTCCTCCTGGGAGGCAACGTGGCCACGGAGAGGGCCCTCCTGCCCAGCATCAGGCACCACATCCAGCATTAGGGTGACCAACCATCCCCAGAAACCCCCTTCAGTGTGGGGCAAACCTAGATGGTTGGTCACTCTGTGAAGCACTCGCCTGCCCAGGACCCTCCCCGCTCTGACTCCACTGTAAAATGGAAGTAATTTCTACCCAGACTTCCTGACAGGCTGTTGTAGAAATCAGTGATCACGGATGAGAAGGCAATTTCTCAAAACCCCTGAGGTTGAGACTTAGCTCTGTGACCTCCCAGCTGCGTGGCCTTGGACAAATGGCTGACATCATCTCTCTGATTCTAGCCTAACTGGGGAAGTGTGTGTGTGTGTGTGTGTATGTGTGTGTGTGTGTGTGTGTGTGTATGCATGCATGTTGGGGACGTCAGTGTGGAGGGAGTTAGCTTCGAAGTGGAAGGTAGCAGGAGTGGCATGAGTGCCCATGTCCCAGGAAGGGACTCGATGGAAGGTGAACCAAGGTCTGGGAGAGATGGAGGCAAAGAAACCCCAAAGGAGACCGAGGGAAAATAAAAGAAATAGCTGGAAACACAGAAGAATGTTTAGTAACAGAGGGGATAAAGTAACAAAGAGGAAGAAGAAGTAACAAAGAGGGAGGGATGACTCCCAAGTTTCTGGCCTAGAAGAACATGGATGCAGATGAGATAAGTAAGTTAGTAAGAGAGTGCTTGCCTCAGAAGAAAAATGGATGAGGTGCAGATTGTGGATTGTGAGGTAACGGCAGGTGGGAAGAGGGATGAGGAAAACGTCACATACCGGGTATGTGGTACACGTGGTGCAGTCCAGGCAACACAGGGAATCAAGGCTCTGCTGAGAGTCAAGAGCCAAGGCTTGAACCCAGGCTCCCCATACTCTCTGCAGACCAGACCGCCTCAAAATGGGTTCCAGAAAACATCAGACCCAGCAAGATGCTTAATGGAAAAACATGTCTCGTGGTCAAATAAGAACGGGAATGCTGCGTATTAAATCCTGCTTCTGCAAAGTCACGACACACACCAAAGGCTCTGAGAAGTTGTGCAGTCGAAAAACCCCCTTCGTTATATTTAACCCACCATTTCCCAAGCTTATTTGGCTACAGAACCATTTTTCCAGGGAACACACTTTGGGAACTGTTACTCTAGTGTAACCAGCTTCACCTGTGAAGCAAATGAGCCACAAGAACAAAGGAAGGAACCTAGAGAACAGGTAGGAACACCAACCACAAGCACAGATCAAAACCTGAAACATGCTGGTGAGAACCCGCCCAGGGCCAGTGAGCAGGCTTCAGCCTGCCCTGTTTATCAATAACGCGTGGCTCTCCAAGCACCCCCTACTCCCGGAATCACTCGCCCTTCTGAATTCAACAGCTTGAGAAAAAAAGCTGTGGGCCTGCTTCCTCTCACCAGATAGCTGCCACTTCCACCCCCTTCCCCAGTACACATCTCACATCTTCCCTCCCTCCGTAGCTGACCCAGGTCCACCATCACAGGACCTGTTCCCATTAGTTTGTTTTCTTCTGAGATACAGCCCCGACCATATTACTTTCCCACTAAAACCTCCAGTGGCTCTAAGGCTGTGTGTCCCTGCACAAGGGAAGGCCAAGGCCCACAGCTGAGCAAAAGGCCCTTCACCCTCAGCTCTGTCTGTCTCCCTCCCCATCCCTTAAGCCATGCCTGTCCACACTTTTCTCTTTGCCAGAAATGCCCTTCCCACTCTCCTCTTAACTAGCAAACTTTCGCATTGAGAGATAGGCCTCAATCAAGCTTGATCCTTTTACTCTCTGCGCTATCACAGAGCTCAGGCAGCAGACCCTCTGGGGCAGGGAAGAAGATCCTCAGGCCTCCCTCTCTGGTCATGCACCTCCCTCCTGGAGGGACAGAGGCCTTGAAGCTCAGTCCCTTATAAGACTGCCTGCTGAGCCAGCTCCCACCTCCCAGGGTGCCCTAAAGTGAGCAGGCACTGTGCTCTTCAGAGAAGACCAGGACTCAGTCAGTGGTCACCCTGGACAAGTTTTTCCCAAACCTATCACAAGAATTGCTTGAGGAAGTTAGTACAAGTACAGCATCTCGGGCCCTTCCCTTAGAGAGTCTGTGGATTTTGGGAAGGACCTAAATGGCTACCTAACAAGGAGCCCAGATGATTCTCACTGGGCAAGCTGGGTAGTAGGGCTCCGATGGACCATCTGATGGGCATCTGATGTCAAGGCTTAGGGCTTTCGGGCAAAGAGGGCCCTCGGGGATTCCCACCATTCACACCCTTCCCCACAAGGTCAGCCAGGCCTGGGCTGCCCAACACCCAACCCTGGGCAAAGGCTACTGGGGGGGCCCTGCTGCACAGTGAACTTGTGAAAAACATGAAGAAAAGATCTGTCACAGGGCTCTTTTCACTTCAGAGGGCCCCCACAACATCTGCAGCCCCCACCCCACCTTTGGTTCTGAGGATGCTGCTAAACATAACCGCGTTTTGGGGAACCCAAGAAGCACCTGGGCTGTCACCCTGCCGACTTGCTCGTACCTTCTGAAACCCACCCAGAAAACAGGAATTCACATGTGGCCTGGCTCGCTTCCGCGGGACAGACACCTGCAGGCTGGAAAGTGTCCTGGTGTTGCCCCATCATGGGTTTCAGAAAGGTGGTCCTGAAGTCAAGAGCCCCGGACAGGAGAAGAGATGCCTGGGCCCCGGTCCAGCTCCACCAGTGACTTTCCAGATGATCTTTGGTATCCTGAGAGTGGATAGTACAGCCACTCTCAGGGTACTGGTTTCCTCATTTGTAAACTGCAGGGACAGGACTGGATGCTCTCTAAGGTCTCAGAACGCCCTGACGTGTCCAGTGACACTTGGTAAACCAGGAGGAGTGCAGGGATCCAAAGCAAGATCTTTAGACAAATCCTTGCTCCCACCTTCCCTGCCCTCAGCATGAATTTCCAAGCAGACAGGAGACGTGAGTGTCCAGCATAGGAGAGGTGGAAAGAAGCCTTGATCACCAAGCGTCACATTTACCTACGTCTCCTCTTACCTCAAATTCCTAGGCTTTCTCAGCTTCTTTCTTGGATGTCCATCTTTGCCCCCTTCTCTTCTCACTCTCCCTATACCCAGGTCTTTGGTTTAAGCACATGACAGTTCCCAAACCTCTGTTTCCATCTCATGTCTCTCTCCTGACCTCACAGCCAACAGAACATGGCTAGCCATATGTCATGGGCACCTCAAATTCAACCTGCCCCAAATGGATTCTCATGCAACCCCACCACCATCACCACCTACAGCCAGACCTGCTTCTCAGGATTCCCTCAGCAACTGACACCACCATCTCCCCAGGGCAGAAGCTGATACCCGGGTGGTCCATCTTCTATTCCCCCTCCTCTCTCCCCAACCCCAACACACACACTAACGCTCTCTCACCCTCACATACACACACACACACGCCCACTCGCTCCCATGCCGGGGCTGTCCACAGCATGCTGACAACCCACAGAAGCCGATCGAGCACCAAGCCAGAGAGTCTTTACTCTGAAATGTCTGTTAACTGCAAACTTGCCCTGTGATATGTATCAAGACCACTTTCAATTTGTTTCAATTGATACTTTCTGGGTACCTACTGTGTGCCAGCCCAAGGAGGAGTGGGTTGAGGTAGGGAGGGAGGATGGACAAGACAAATCCTGCCTTCCAGGAGTTCCCTGCTGAGCGTGTGGCAGAACCTAAATGAAAATTACCCTGGTTTAAGGATGGTCAAGGAGCTTGCTCCTCCAATGGCTCTGTGCAGAGCTTTATCACTGAACAGCCTCTTCTCACTCTCCTGCTCCCTTCTGAACTCGCTGTGCCCCTTGCACAACCCCCATCATGCTTCCAACACACTGAGACACCTTGACCCCCAATCCTGCCCTTCTTGCCAATCTGGCAATTTTTTCTCCACAACTCTAAGGATCTTGCAGCTCACACCTTTGAGACAACAGACAGCAGCCCCAGACCTGGCGTTGAATGACTAATTGGGTCGAGTGCCAGCCAGGAGGCCTCCTGAATGCCCTGCACACCTCCTGCCATACTGCAGGGACCATGCTCTGCTACACACCTGGCTCTGTCCCAGTGAGAAACTCCAGAGAGCTCAGACTCCAGGAAGGCAACGACTACCTCTGTTCAGAATCATGCAGACCTGCGACCAGGTTTCAGAGCCACTGCCTGGGGTGGTGGGGAGAAGCTCTGGGAGGAGGCAGAGGGCTGAGGGCTTCATGACAGGCCTCAAGCCGAGCCAAGGCGCCCTTGCTGTGCGGCGCATGGCGTGTGCTACCACAGGCTCTCGGCCCCGCTGGGCTGGCTTGTGTGTTTTCTTGGCTCTGGAAGCTGGGAGGCAGGGTTACGTAAGCAGATGAGCAGATGTAAGCTGTCCTCGGCTCCCCCAGCTCAAGCCCCGCCACGTGGGCCTCTCGGCTGGGAGTCCAGGTCATGGCCTTGCATGTAAGTCGCTCAATAACTTCAATGTGTGAGCTCAATTCAGACAAATTCCACTGCTCCCCTGCCTGGCACAGCAAACCCAAACACATACATGCCCCTCCATCAAAGGCCCTGCTAATCTAAGCCAACACCAGCACGGACTCCTGACTGGTTTTCATGCTGGCTGAAGCACTAGTTCAATCCTTTAGCCTCAGCAAAATAGGCTGAAACATCTAGTCACTGTTTGTCAACTGATTGGCCAGTGGGTCGAAAGAAGCGTTGGCCTGATGCTTTATTGTGACAATGTTTCACTAGCCCAGGAATGAAATCACAGAAGTAAAGACCATGTAGGTGTTTTTTAATTAAACTAAAGGTAATCAAAGTATAGGAATGCCCTTTCTTCCAAGATTAAGTGCTTCTTACTCTTTGAATATTAAAATGTCCTTTCTCTTATGAAATCATCATAGATTTTCATGCTGGACTGATTTTTAAAATTTAATTTAAAAAAAAAATCCTTCCTTGGCAGCCATGGGTCAGGCCTCTAAGTTTGTTTTGAAAATTCTCTGGACAGGAAATCCAAGTATTCAGGAAACATTTGGGAACACGTGGAACTAGGCAGTGCCTAGAACTCTGTGATTCTGAGAGCTGGGATACTGGAATTTCTTCCTGGGTCTCAGACCTGACAGTACACTGCACAGCCCCTCTTCACAAATCAGCTCCCCCACCAGTGCTGTTCCACAGGCTCATGTGGATGGGCCGCTTCTCTCTGTACCAATCTTCCAAAGGCCAGGTGCGCACCGCAAGCTGAGCCAGGCATTACCACCAAATTCCCCAGCTTGAGAAAAGATTTGCTTGCAGCATTCTCGTGAAATCACGGTGCCCCTTGAGGCCCCTTGGGCTAGAAATGAGAAGCACCATTTACTGTACGTGGCTCACCCGTCATTCTGGGAAGAGCACAAGCTCTCTAAGTCTGCAAGGGCTTCAGTCTAACAAATCTAACAGCTGCCTGGCCTTAGCTCAAACACCACCCTCCCAGGAAGCCTTCCCAGACCACTCAAGGTTGGTTCTTAAGCATTTCACCCACTTCCCCTAAGCATTCACAGCACCACATCCATTCATATTCAAACATGTACCCAGTTAGTATGTATCATGTGCCAGGTGGTATAGGGCATGCAGGGGTTGGTAGGGGAGTGGGCGGCAGGGTGAGCAAGTAAAGAAGAGGTCTTTGAGGCTGGGCATGGTGGCTCATGTCTGTAATCCCAGCACTTTGGGAGGCTGAGACAGGCAGGTCACCTTGAGGTCAGGGGCTTGAGACCAGCCTGGCCAACATGGTGAAACCCCATCTCTACTAAACCCCATCTCTATTAAAAATACAAAAATTAACCGGGTGTGGTGTAGCTGTAATCCCAGCTACTTAGGAGGCTGAGGCAGGAGAATCTCTTGAACCTGGGAGGTGAAGGTTGCAGTGAGCCGAAATCACGCCATTGCACTCCAGCCTGGGCGACAGAGCAAGACTCTGTCTCAACAACAACAACAAAAGGTCTTTACCCCCAGTAGTCAAGGAGACCAGCAAAGCCAACAGTACTGCTAAGTGTGACAGGTAACAAACAATAAGCTAAAACTAGCACAGAAGGGGAATCAACTAGGGGACAGGAAGAGAGTCAAGGAAAGCTTTGCAAAGAAGCAGCTCCTCCATCAGGGCCCCTCAGTTCTCTTGGGAGGATTCATCACAGAGTTGTGTCCACTTGGCTGCCATGCACGTGGGAGTACGCCAATAAATCCTAGCTGTGTGGGTGGCGCGCAGCTATCCTCTCTGCTTCTCTGCCACCTGCACAAGTAACAAAGGTTTCCATAAACCTACAAGAAAACCTGACAGAAGAGCAGGGGATGGAGAGCCACCAGAAGGGACTCTCGATTCTCACGTGAAGCATTTTGCACTGTTTCAAAATCTAACTCATGAAGGCTTCGAAGGTGTAGGAAATGATTTCTTTCTTTTTTTTTTCTTTTTGAGACGGAGTCTCACTCTGTCGCCAGGCTAGAATGCAGTGGCACAATCTTGGCTCACTACAACCTCCGCCTCCTGGGTTCAAGCGATTCTCCTGCCACAGCCTCCCGAGTAGCTGGGACTACAGGCACACACCACCATGACCAGTTAATTTTTGTATTTTCAGTAGAGACGGGGTTTCACCATGTTGGCCAGGATGGTCTCGATCTCTTGACCTCATGATCTGCCTGCCTCGGCCTCCCACAGTGCTGGGATTACAGGCACGAGCCACCGCGCTCGGCTGGTTTGTTTCTTAAATCAGATGTTTGTGGTATTTTTCTTTATACCTTTGGTTATATCTTTAAACTTGAACAATAAATATTTTAAAATATGACCCACAGATGGGAAAGGTGACCCCCTCCCTATCCCATTCCTAGTAAGGAAGTATCTTCCAAAATAAGGATGTCAAAACATACAACTCAGTGACCAGAAAACAGGAATAGTCTATTCTTAATGCTGACATGATATGTCTTGGGTACACCACACACAAACACAAGTTCAACACCCCCAACACCCACTGTTCTTTCCACCAACTCACCATCCAAGCCACTATTTGTTTCTTTCCCTAGGACCTCTTTTTCTTTTTCTTTTTTTTAAGAGACAGTTTCTCGCTCTGTTACCCAGACCAGAGTGCAATGGCATGATTATCGAACTCCTGGGCTCAAGCAATCCTCTCGCCTCAGCCTCCCGTGGGACTGCAGTGCATGCTACCACACCCAGCTAAGTGAGAAACATTTTTTCAACAGGAAACAGAATACATCTGTGGTCTCAGTACCCTGCATTTGGGAACAGAGAGAAAAACAAAGAATTTGCTGAAAAAAAATAGGCCAGGTGCGGTGGCTCACACCTGTAATTCCAGCATTTTGGGAGGCTGAGATGGGTGGATCACCTGAGGTCAGGAGTTCGAGACCAGCCTGGCCAACATGGTAAAACCATGTCTCTATTAAAAATACAAAAATTAGCTGGGCGTGGTGGCACTTGCCTGTGATCCCAGCTACCTGGGAGGCTGAGGCAGGAGAATCGCTGGAACCTGGGAAGTGGAGGCTGCAGTGAGCCGAGATCATGCCACTGCACTCTAGCCTGGGCAACAAAGCAAGACTCCATCTCAAAAAGAAAAAAATAATAAAAAATAAATTAAAGGAGACTGCCAGACAAGGTCCACACAGCAGACCGTAGGTGGCCAAGTGGGAAGCTAGACCAACTGGGCACAGTGGGGCCAGGTGCTCATCCATTCATCTGTGCTCAGAAACAGTCCTGCCACATGCCTGACCTGCCACACTTGGTAGTTCTTCTAAAACATGACTTAAAAGTGACTTCGTCAGCAATGAACCACTGACTGACCTCAGTGGAACTGCCATTTCTCATGCCTTACTCTCTCCCTCATTAAAGTCCCACTCAACCTTCAAAGGCCAAGCACTCAAGTTGCTTTCGCAATGCTGGTAGCTTTCTGTCTATTGCAGAGGCTTTCATGCTGTGCAGTGCAAGAAGAATCATCTGCAGAAGTATGTGAATTTACAGGTTCTTGAGTCCTACTCACCAGATTGATTTGATAAGCCTGGGGCAGGGGCCCAGGAATCTGCATTTTAACAAGCACTGTAGGTAACTGCAATTTTGATGCAATTCCCTGGACTACATTTTGAGAAACGCTGGTTTACAGGTTCACTTATTAACTACCACTTCCCTCCCACCCTCATGAAGCAATTTAAGAATGAGGTCAAGAAAAACAACTTACACTCAGGAACTACTGTGTATTTTCCTCTCTGAAAATGTGTAACATGTTTTGCTTTCAGCTTTTGCAAATGGTCAAATATAATAACTACGTTGGGACCCATGGTTTGAATATCTTTTTTTTTTTTTTTAAACTGGGTCTTGCTCTGTAGCCCAGGCTGAATTGCAGTGGTGCCAGCTCACTGCAGCCTCAAACTGCTGGGCCCAAGCGATCCTCCTGGGCTGTGGTCTCGGCCTCCTGAGTAGCTGGGATCACAGTCACGAGCCACACAGCTCAGCTAATTTTTAAATTTTTTGTAGAGATAAGGTCTCACCTGAGATGTTGCCAGGCAAGTCTCAAGCTCCTGGTCTCAAGAGATTTTCCTGTCTTGGCCTCCCAAAGTGTTGGGATTACAGGCATGAGCCACTGTGCCTGACTAAATATCTACCTTTTCACTCTTCCTCTTAATTTTCTAAGTTCCATTTTCTCTTTATTTATTTATTTTTGAGGAGGAGTCTCACTCTGTCGCCCAGGCTGGAGTGCAGTGGTGCGATCTCAGCTCACTGCAACCTCCGCCTCCCAGGTTTCAAGCGATTCTCCTGCCTCAGCCTCCCAAGTAGGTGGGACTACAGGCATGTGCCACCACACCCAGCTAATTTTTTGTATTTTTAGTAGAGCCGGGGTTTCACCATGTTGGCCAGGCAGGATGGTCTCGATCTCCTGACCTCACGATCCACCCACCTTGGCCTCCCAAAGTGCTGGGATTACAGGCATGAGCCACCATGCCCAGCCCATTTTCTCTTTTTCTGATTTTAAATTTATATTGGTCCTTTTTATGGTATATGTTCTTATAAGCCACCTCAAAAACTTCAGGAAACAGGTAAAGCAACCATTTTTTGGAGTTCAAACCAAATGTCATCCCCTCTTCAGAGCTTTCCCCAGTCCCCTCTCGGGATCAATCAGTCCCCACTCCATATGCCTGCAAAATCCTTCACAAACCTTGGCTGGAGCCCTGCAGAGATGAGGCACCAGTCGACCTGCCTGCTTCCTCCCTTAGAATCTTGACGGCAGGGATTGTGTCCCATTCCTTTCTATGCTGGGACAGTTCCTGGCAGCAAGAGCAGCAATCATGTATTGACCCACACTGCACTTGTTCAACTAAGAGGTGAGAAGCTGAGCTCACAGAGCTGGGAGCCATCTTGCCTTTGATGTTTTAGAATCTAAGATTTTAGTCTTAAATTACAGTTAAGATCAAGATGGGGCAAAAACACTCTCATTTCTGCCAGACGAGGTCTTCACAGCAAGCCTAGGTGGCCAAGTGGGAAGCTGGACCAACTGGGCAAAGTTGCGCCAGTTGCTCATCCATTCATCTGTGCTCAGAAACAGTCTGCCACATGAGGCCTTTTGTTTCTAGGTTTAGCACCTGATTCATGAGCTACAGCCACCACCCCCCAACCCCTCCAGCACCCCATCAATTTTAAAATAAGTTTTCTCCAGGCTCTAGGCCTAGCATCTGACACTTTGTGGCAACGGATGGCCTAACCTCCTAATAAAAATGGTGCATTTTCTTGGCTAAGCCTCACATAGCCACACCAAACAGGCTCTTCACCAAATGTCACTATTTCCTTGAGAGAATAATCCCAAAGCTCAAAGTTTTACATGGGTCACAAAATCACCAGAAAAACCTCAGGTGGTCACTCAGCCCAGGATGCTCTCGCCAAGGGTATCAAGGCCTAAATCTAAGGAAACAGCACCATGATCAGATTCTGCCACCTCAAAGGGCCAGGATCCACCTCGAATCAGACCCTAGAGAATCCTGGCAGACAAGGGCCAATAGAGCTGTGGGAATTATGTGTTGGCCCCATGGTTACACAGGAAAGAAACTGAAGGCCATACAGGAAGACAGACTTCCTCAAGAACACCCTTGGATTGGCAAAAAAGCTGTCCTAACTTCCCCTTAAATAATCTTCCAGGGTTCTGATATTCCTGGATGCATCCACACAGTGGATAGCAAATCACAGCACACGTGCCTTTACTGTCCCTGCGCTGTACCCACGGGGATTCTGTCTCAGAATCTTTTCCAATTTAGGGGCCAGGGGGGCCTTCAACTGATGGAGGTGGCATAAAAGTGAATCTTATTTGACATCACTGAACTAAACCATTCTCAAGCATTAATTCTATACCATATGTGGTCACAGATCCCCAATTCTGTGGGGCAGTAGAAGCAAGGAGAGGACATGGGGAAACCTCTGGGAGACCCCAGAACAGGCAGCATGACAGTTCCACTTCTGTCCAGTGGGGAAGCCACAGAAATGCAAAGCCTTGGGGTCAAGAAAGAGTGACTGGGGGTCACAAGCTTTTAAAGCCCAGTAAACAAGCTCCCAAGTAGTGTTTGGTCTCTGGAGGAAAAATTCCCAAGAGGAATTTCTGCTTTCTTTGGTCCTCACTCAAGGGCAGATTCCTCCTTCTCACTCCTTCCGCTGGAATTTCTGGAAAGTGTGGAAACTGTGCCTGCCCACAGATATCACTACCAGGGAAAGGTTCTGAGGCCTACTTGCCTATAAACTCCATATTAGCCCCAGGAAGATCTTGCTGTATATCTGTCCTTTTAGAACTAGAGCGCTTCCAGAAGGGATGATTTCAGCTTCTCAGAAAGGTTTAGAATGGTCTAGGCATCTGGCATTTTATTTTAAGACTTTCACCTCCAGGCTGGGGCAGCCACCTGTGTCCTCTGGGCTCTCCTCTCAATCTGGAGCCAGTCACTGACAAGTAGCCCAGGAAGAATTCCAGAGTCACACTTACCACTACTCCCTCCAGGGTCCCATGCCTCACTGCCAAGTCAGGATGCTGGTGAGGATGCTTCGCTTTGCACCTCCTTAGGCCATTTGTTAGAAGAGATTTAGACATTTGACACACAGTCTACAGGAACTAAATGCAATTTTCTTTCTTTTCTTTTTTTTTTTTTTGAGACAGAGTCTCACTCTGTCACTCAGGCTGGAGTGCAGTGGTGCAATTTCAGCTCACTGCAGCCTCTGCCTCCTGGGTTCAAGTGATTCTCTTGCCTCAGCCTACTGAGTACCTGGGAATATAGGTGCATGTCACCACACACCACATCCAGCTAATTTTTGTATTTTTAGTAAAGACGGGGTTTCGCCATGTTGGCCAGGCTGGTCTTGAACTCCTGACCTCAGGTGATCCACCCGCCTCAGCCTCCCAAAGTGCTGGGATTACAGGCGAGAGCCACCACACCTGGCCCCCAAATGCAATTTTCAAGGGAAGGCAACACAGTAGGAAGGAATCACAGGAGGAAGGAATTACAGCCTAGGTTTCAAATCACTCCTCCACCTCTAAAAAGCTACAGTCAAGTTTTATAACCTCTCTAAACTTTGTTGGTGACAGCACAGTTCCTAACACACACTAGGCCTATGACATACATTTGCTGAATACAAGAATAATATTTGTATGTAGACCTCACACTCTAAGAGGAAGACAAGTCATTCTTTTTTTTTTTTTTTTTTTCCCCCTGAGATGGAGTTTCTCCATCACCCAGTCTGGAGTGCAATGTGCCATCCCGGCTTACTGCAACCTCCCCCTCAGGTTCAAGTGATTCTCCCGCCTCAGCCTCCCAAGTAGCTGGGATTACAGGCACCTGCCACCACGCCCAGCTGATTTTTGTATTTTCATAGAGACAGGGTTTCACCGTGTTGGCCGGGCTGGTCTTGAACTTCTGACCTCGGGTGATCTGCCCACCTCGGCCTCCCAGAATGCTGGGATTACAGGCATGAGCCCCCATGCCCGGCCAAGTCATTCTTGATAGAGAGAATTCAGTAGAGGATAAGGTGTCATAAAAAGAGACTGTTTACTGAGGAGAGTCAGCAGAGTTCAACTATACCAGCATACCTAACATATGGAAGAACAAAGGGCATTAACACAGTTACAGAAAAAGAAGAGTGCTGGTGAGAGACTGCACAAAACAATGGGAAAAATAGTTTTATGTTGCAACAAAATACAGCATGAGCAAAGTGAACATATATATAATAGATGCAGGAGGCTGAGGTGGAAAGATTGCTTGAGGCCAGGAGTTCAAGATTGGCCTGAGCAACATATTAAGACTTCCATCTCTAAAAAATAAAATAAAATTAGCCAAGTCTGGTGGTGCATACCTGTAGTCCCAACTACTCAGGAGGCTGAGGTGGGAGGATCGCTTAAGCCCAGGATTGCGAGGCCACAATGAGTCATGATCATACCACTGCACTCCAGTCTGGGTGACAGAGCAAAACCCCAACTCTTAAAAAAAAAATTGTAAATAAATAAGTAAATAACAGATTCAGAAGATATCTGCAATGTCTGAGACCAGGAAGGGATTAATATCTAGGATGTATAAGGAATTCCTGCATATCTTCAAGAAAAATATAAGAACTCCAGTGAAAAACAGGCAAAGGATTATAATGAATAAGCAATTTACCTAAGAGGAATCCCAAAGACCATCAGGCATATGAAGAAATGCTCCAGCTCATTGGTAATCAGAGAAAAACAAGTTAAAACAAAGAGTTATCCTAGCACATCTATTAGTTTGGCAAAAAATAGGAAGCTGGTTAATGCTGATTATTCACGGAGACACAGAGCCTGTCATGCTCTGCTGGTGGAAATGTAAACTGAGGCAGCCATTCTGGAGCTGTGTCTGGCACCCCTGAATCAACATAAACATGCTCACACGTTGCCCATAAAGGAAACGTTTAAGGATTTTCCTCACAGCAATATTTGTGAAGGTAATGCTGGAGGCAGTCCAGGAGTCCCTCATTACAGAAGGGAAAAAGAAACACTGGGATGGATGACAATCATGAGGTATTATTCAGCAGTTAGAATCAACATGCTGGACATATACACGGCAACGTGGATGGACCTTAAAAACAAAGGTGCACACTTGGCACTGATTCTTGTTTTCTAATTATGATTCTCTACTAAAAGGAACTAGAGCTCATTGGAGAAGTGACTGACTCTAGGGCTGAGTTGGGGAAAGAACAAGAGGACCATGGAACTTCTTGCTGTGCCTAAAAGTAAAAAAAAAAAAAAAAATGCTCAAAGAGTAATAGGATATGTCAAAAGAAAACAGGAACCAGGAACCTCTAAAGAGGAATCCCAAAGACCATTCCCCTGAAGGGGATCTTATTGGCTAAATCTGGGATAGTCTGAACATCAGAATACATAATGATAGTAAAGGATTATGATTTAATGAAGTAAGAATGCATAGGTCTGCATTAATATATGAATTAATTAATAGGGAAAAAGGGTAAGCTCTTCCTTATAGAAGAATGCCAAAATTAACAAACATAGAAGGAATAATGGAATTAGAAAACCATCAACTACCATAATAACTGATTCAGGCAAGAATCATTTGTAGATGCTAAAACCCAGTGGATATCAAGAAAACGATGAAAGGTAAGAAAAAAAATTTAAAAAAAAAAAAGTGGATGAAAGTTTGAGGAGTAACAGGACAAGTATATGCCCATAAGATACTTAAAAAATTTTTTTATTTATTTACTTTTTTTTTTTGAGACAGAGTCTCACTCTGTCACCCTGGCTAGAGTGCAGTGGCGTGATTTCAGCTCACTGCAACCTCCGCCTCCCAGGCTCAAGCAAGCCTTGTGCCTCAGCCTCCTGAGTAGCTGGAACTACAAATGCGCCACCACGCCAGGCTAATTTTTTGTATTTTTTATAGAGATGGCGTTTCACCATGTTATGTTGGCTAGGATGGTTTCAAACTTCTGACCTCAAGCAATTTGCCCGCCTCAGCCTCCTAAAGTGCTGGGATTACAGACATGAGCTACTACGCCCGGCCAGATAGTTTTAATTTAAAATGGTAAAATAGTAACTATAATGGAGTAATGCCAAATGCCACTACAATGAAATCCTCAAGGTTCACACTGCCAATAAGGAACAAACTGACAGTGTGTGTCTCTAGATCTCGTTACACTGAGAAGAACTCAGCATCATTTCAGTGGTATTCCTGTCAAAAGTGAATAACCTGAATCTGATCAGGAGGAAACATCAGACAGACCTAAACTGAGAGACCTTCTACAAAATAACTGGCCTGTACTCTTCAACAATGTCACTGTCATGAAATCCAAAGGGCTTGGGAATTATTTCAGATTACAAGACACTAAGAGACATGACAACTGAATACAACACATGGTTTTCTTCTACCATCAAGGCTATTATTGGGGCACCTGACAAAGTCTTCCTAAGGCCTGTAGATGACATAGCAGAAATGTTTCAATGTTGATGTCCTGATTGTTAATTATACTATGTTTATATATATATTTTTAAATCACCTTGTTGTTAGGAAATATACACTGAATATTTAAGGGTAAAAGGAGATATATATAGATATAGATATAGATATATACACACACACATATATATGAGAGAGAGAGATCTAGATACATCTATCTAAAATTATATTAATATCTATCTATCTACAGGTAGATACACACACACACACACACACACACACACACACAGAGCGAGAGAGAGAGAGAGAGAGAAGGAAAAAGTAAATATAGTAAAATGTTAACATTTAGGGACTCCAAAGGATATCCAGGAATTCTTTGTATTAGTCTAACAACTTTTCTGTAAGTCTGAAGTTATGTCAAACTTTTTAAAAATAAAAAAAAAAAACAGAACTGGATGAAAAACATATAATCAAAATGAGCTATAAAATGCCATTTACATATGTTTAAAAAAATGTATATATACTGTGTGACTCCATTTATGTGACATCCTCAAAAAGACAAAACAATAGTAATGAAGAATAGATCAGTGGTTGCCTGGGATTAAGGGTGGGAGGAGAATGTGACTACAAGAGGGATTTTTTTGGGGTGATGGAACTGTTCTGTATCCTGATTGTGGTGGTAGATACACAAAAATATGTATGTGTTAAAATTTATAGACTATATGCCAAAAAGCCAATTTTATTGTAGGTTAATCTAAAAAAATTTTTTTTAAAGTTAAGAATACATCTATGTATAAAGCAGTGGCTTCCATTTTGGCAAGAGCAAAAACAGATACACAAACTATAAATACGTTAGAATAGTTGCCTGTGATATACCTGGGAAATAGAAGTGGGAATGAGGACAAAATAAAACAAATACATGAGGCAAGAGAGTCCATGAGTAGACCCCAATGATGATTATTGGCCATGAAAGGAAGCTTGATGGCTGGATGGAAAGAAGGAAGGAAGGAAGGAAATAAGTAAGGGAGAGATGGCGGATGGAGCTGGATGTGTCCTTCCAGGGCTGTACAAAGGAGGGGGACCCCAACCCCTAGTCCAGACAAAGGTCCCTAAGGCAGGTGTACAGTATTGTGGGGATGAATTCATCAGCCACGAGAGACTGACCCATCTAATGTTAAATTCACTTCCCTGCTCTGACTGCTGACTCACCAGCAGTTAGCTTATCCTGCGGCTTCCCTTGCAGTGAATTCAGCCAGAGATTTCTAAGCTACTCAATAACAGTTCTAATCTTCCCAGTAAAGCTGCAACTTTGCATTCCAGTATGTAAGTAAGTCTCCTGGGAGTTTTATTACTGAGTCAGCTGCCCCTCTAATCAGTTTTGGAGCCCCAGCAGATTTTCTGGAGCTGCGGTGCTGACTACGAGCACATCCTTCTCTCTCCACCTAGAACCAGACCTTGGACTGTGGAGGGCCCACTACTCCTATGGGCCATCTGGGCACTCAGCCAGCCAAGTACTCCTGGCAATATCTCTCTGGTGTCAGGACTACTTTAAATGTAGCCAGCTCCAATTTCCTTCTCTAAGGAGTGGGGATAATTATGCCTTCCTTTCAGATGTAAGTGAAATAATACATATACATACTTATCGCATGTTCTTATTGAGCTAATAGATGTTCAATAAATGTTACTTTCCCTTCTCCCCTGACTCCTTAGAACTTCAGAGCTTACAAATTACTACAGCTCTATCAGCACACATGGCTAAATTTTCACATTTCTACTCTTAGCCACTAGAATCACTGATAGATTTGGAGGAAAACTCTGGGACCTTAAAGGGTCCCTGGAGTATTACATAAAGCTTCTTGCAGCATGAGAGTTGAACAGAAATTCTGTTCATCTTTTGCTGTCGAAGCCAAGTTGGTGGCTTCTAAAGAACCAACTTAGAAGAAAACTCAGGAGAAAAATTTTATCATTTTGGGATGGTGAAGACCTGCTTAAGTATGAAAGCAACCTGAAGTCATAAAGGAAAACATAGATTTAAACACATAAAAATTCAAAACTTCTGGCCGAGTGCAGTGGCTCACGCCTGTAACCCCAGCACTTTGGGAGGATCATTTGAGATCAGGAGTTTGAGATCAGCTTGACCTACATAGTGAAACCCCGTCTCTACTAAAACACAAAAATTAGCTGGGTGTGGTGGCGGGTGCCTGTAATCACAGCTTCTCGGGAAGCTGAGGCAGGAGAATCGCTTGAACCCAGGAGGCAGAGGTTGCAGTGAGCCGAGATTTCACCACTGCACTCCAGCCTGGGCGACAGAGCAAGACTCCCTCTCCAAAAAATAACATAACATAACATAACATAACATAACATAACATAACATAACATAACATAACATAACAACTTCTACATAGCTAAAGAAACCAGAGATAAAGAAGAGTGACAGATGGAGAGACCATATTTACAAATGATATGTAATAAACAAGAAAAATCCACAATATAAAAAGCTCCTGCAAACATATTTTTAAAACTAATAGAAAAATGGGTTAAAAGAAAAAGGGTAAAAAAAAATGGGCCAAAAAAAGGGTAAAAAAAAAAAAGGGTTAAAAAAAAGAAAAAAAAAGTCAGCTGGGCACAGTGGCTCACACCTGTAATCCCAGCACTTTGGGAGGCCGAGGCAGGTGAATCACTTGAGGCCAGTTTGAAACCAGCCTGGCCAACATGGTGAAACCCCATCTCTGCTAAAAATACAAATATTAGCCAGGTGTGGTGGCACACACCTATAGTCCCAGATACTTGGGAGGCTAAGGTGTGAGAATCACTTGAACCTGGGAGGCGGTGGTTGCAGTGAGCCAAGATCGGACAACTGCACTCCACTCTGGGGGATGGAGTGAGACTCCACTTCAAAAAAAAAGAAAAAATACTCACATAAGAAATACAAATGGGCAAGCCAGCCATGGTGGCTCACGCCTATAGTCCCAGCTACTCAGGAGGCTGAGGCAGGAAGATCATTTGAGCCCAGGAGTTCGAGTCCAGCCTGGGCAACATGGCAAAGACTCCCATCTTGAAAGAAAGGATGAAAAAAGAAAGACAGATGGCCAATAAACACGTGAAAATTTGCTTAACTTCATCAGTAATCAGAGAAACATATTAAAACAAGATACTATGTCTGAATATGATACTGGCAAATATATAAAGGTTAGTAACACCCAGGGCTGGTATGAGTGTGAGGAATAAGCACTCCTATACACTGTTAATGAGAAAAAGCCAGAGGGCAAACTGACAGTATCTATCAAAACGTTTAAAGAGCATGATCTTTAAATCTCAAATCAGTAACCTAACCTTCTACCTTAAGACACCAGAAAAAGCAAACTTAACCAAAAGCAAGCAGAATGAAAGAATAAAGATTAGAGAAGTTAATGAAGCAGAAAAATAAGAACAAAGAGAACAAATAATGAACTCAAAGTTGGTCCTCTGAAAAGATCAATAAAAATGACAAGCTTTTGGCAAGACTAAGAAAAAAAGAAAATTCAAATTATTATAATCAGTAATGAAAGAGGGACTATCCCTACACCAACTTTAACGGAAATAAAAAGGATCATAAGGAATCACTATGAAATGTATGCCAACAAATTAGATGACTTAGATGAAGCAAACTCCTTGGAAGACACAAACTATCAAAACTGACTTAAGAAAAAATAGAAGGTCTGAATAGACCTATAACCAGAAACTGAATTAGGAATCAAAAAGTTTTCCACAAAGAAAACATCAGGCCCAGATGGCTTTACTGGTGAACGCTACCAGATATTTAAAGAAGAATTAATAAAAACCGACCACAAACTCTCTCAAAATACAGAAGAGGAAGGAACACTTCCCTACTCATTTTTTGAGGCAGTATTACCCTGATACCAAAACCAAACAAAGATCTCACGACGAAAGAAAACGAACAGACCTTTTCTGAC
This sequence comes from Homo sapiens, assembly GCF_000001405.40. NCBI lineage: Eukaryota > Metazoa > Chordata > Mammalia > Primates > Hominidae > Homo > Homo sapiens. Next base: position 33,153,931 of record NC_000009.12, read on the forward strand.
AGTGGTAAACAACTATGAAAGAGAAGAAAGGGAAGGGGAGGGGAGAGGAGGGGAAAAGAAGGGAGGGGAGGGGAGAGAGAGAGAGAGAGAGGAAGGAAGGAAGGGAGGGAGGGAGGGAGGGAGGGAGGGAGGGAAAGACTACAGACCACTATCTGTTATGAATACAAATCAACAAAATACTAGCAAACTCAATCCAGCAACAAATAAAAAGAATTATACACCATGACCAAGTGGGATTTATCCCAGGTATGCAAGATTAATATCTGAAAAATCAATGTATAATATACCATATCAATAGAATAAATGACAAAAAAACATGATCATCTCAACAGACACAGAAAAGCATTTGACAAAACCCATCACCTTTTCATGATAAAAATACTCAACAAACCAGGAATAGAAAGGAACTTCCTCAACCTGATAAAGGGCACCTAGGAAAAACCCACTGCTAACACCATTCTTAATAGTCAAAGACTGGATATTTTCCCCCTAACAAGACACATATGTTGTCTCTTAGCATATCTATTTAACATTGTACTGGAGGTTCTAACGGGGCATTTAGGCAAGAAAAAGAGCTGCTGTGAGAGTTCATGAAAACAATGCATCTGAAGTATTTTTACCATGGTTGGCATGTAATAAGTGCTGAACAAGCATTATCTTTCGTTCAGTGATGTAGGTGGTTGTTGATGGAGCCTAGAACCCTGCATCTACAGTGGCTCCCACCAATTACTTTTTCACACTGACCAACTTATCTATTCATCTTGACTTTTGATTTCCTGTTTAGAGACTAGAATTGCTGGGAGGTCTAAAGCAAGCATGTCCAACCGATGGCCCATGGGCCACATGCGGCCAGGATGGCTTTGAATGCAGCTCAACACAAATTCATGAACTCTCTTAAAATATTGAGTTTTTTTTTTTTAACCTCATCGGCTATAATTAGTGTATTTTATATGCGGTCCAAGACAATTCTTCTTCCAGTGTGGCCTGGGGAAGCCAAAAGATTGGACACCCCTGGGTCTTAAGTTTAGGTGGATGTGGATTTCTCCAGTAAGACCAATCCTGGCTCTTAGGGCCCAGTGACAGCCACCCCAGCATTACATAGCTGGCCCTAATGGAGGCAGCACTCAATGGTCCTACCACAAAGCCATTTAGCGATGCTGAGCAGGAGTACATGGCTACGTCAGAACTCCAGGCAGGAAGAGACTCTGGAGAGCATCCCAGCCAATCCTTCATCTCATTTTATACATGGGCAAACTGAGGCCCAGAGAGAGAACATGATTTCTCTCGGATTATTCAGTAGGTTGGAAAGAGAGCTGGACTTTAGGGTCTGGCATCCTGGATTCCAACACCAGCCCCGAGGTAGAATAAAGCAGGTTATCTACAGGCTTGTGCTTTAGTTTTTCTACCAACACACCAGGCACACAAGACTGAGCCCGCCTACATCTATCTTTTTGTTTTAATGATATACTTTCTCACCTAAGACTCAATCAAACATCTAATGCTCCCTCTTCAGCTCCTCTTCCTAATCACTCAGCTGTCTGTGGTTTATGATGGCCTCTTGCCCAGGATACTGATGAACAACGTCCACCTGAAGGGAAGAATGTGAGCAGCCATAAAATTCCAGTGTAACTGACACAGGGGAACACACACTCCAAGTTTCCAGTGCTGTGGATTCAACAAGATAGCGGCCTTCTCCTTGTGGCCTGGGGTACTCGCTTTGGGCTATATTCTGTCCCTAAGTTGTGGTCAGAGCCTCACGCCTCTTCCTCTTCTTTCTCTTGACTCTGCCCCAAGGCAGATGAAAACCTGCATTTGGAGGAATTTTATATGTGGCCTAAGGGTGCTGACTGTATGCCTTTTGTGCCCAAGAAGATGAGTTAGGCATTGATCAAAAGACATTCAGAGTACTGATATTACCATATAACTAACCTCATTCACTCCTCTTACCAACATCTTGAGGTAAGAAATTATCTCCCTCATTTTATGTAGTAAGAAAATCTTGCCCTAGGTCTCTAGGAACAATATACTACTAGCAGCTCTGACCTAATTCAGTGGGCCCAGAGTGCCATATTAAGTCACAACTGACTGCTGCAGAATGCAGTCAAAGGAGAAGAAGACATATGACATAGCTATAAGGTGAAGGGAGTGGCTGTCACAAATTGAATATGCCCCATCTGCTGGATCTGTAAACTTTTTTTTTTTTCGGGGGGCGGGGGAGGTGGAGACAGAGTCTCACTCTGTCACCCAGGCTGGAGTGCAGTGGCCTGATGTGGGCTCACTGCAACCTCCGCCTCCCAGGTTCAAGCCATTCTCCCACCTCAGCCTCCCAAGTAGCTGGGACAACAGGTGCATGCCACCACACCCGGCTAATTTTTGTATTTTTAGTAGAGACAAGGTTTCACCATGTTGGCCAGGCTGGTCTCAAACTCCTGACCTCAGGTGATCCACCCACCTCGGCCTCCCAAAGTGCTGGGAATACGGGTGTGAGCCACTGTGCCCGGCCAGGATCTGTAAACTTTTAGTCACTGAAATCACTAAGTCTAAAATCATTCCATCATTTATGCAATTCAGTGGGCTTCTGAATCTACAAGAGTCTACAAAAGATGCAGGCACATGGTGGATGACTACAAGGACAGAACTGGCAATTCATATTTGCAGACTTTGGGCTATTGTAACAACTTATTTTTATCCAACATAATTTAAAAGCCTTTCTTCATTAGGGCCCTGTTTCTGGATCCCATACACCAGGGCTATTACATAGAAGTTCATCCACATGAGTTAAATGATCAGGCGCCCAGGCTAGCCCAACAGAATATAAGTTTCTATGGATGGCTACATGCAGTGTTTCCAAAAACTGATCCACAAACTTTTTGATCAACACCATTATTTTTAAGTCAGGTTTTTAAAGCCAGAGCCTGCCCCATGCTATAGGTTTAGCGCCACATATCAAGGAAGAAGGAAAGAATGTTCTTACTTTCTGTAAACCAACTTGGCAAAGGTAGGTGGGTGTTGAAAGAGCCACAGTAAGGCTCCTTTTGTGGACACAGAGTGAATTCAACAGGAACTGCTCTGAGGCAATCACAGGAAAACCCTAATGTCCAGAAAGGCCACATGGTGTCCAGCATAGGGAACTACACACACACACACACACACACACACACACACACACACGGTGTCCAGCATAGGGAACTACACACACACACACACACACACACACACACACACACACTGGCTGGAAGTGTCAGTGTGAGGCTCCAGCTAGATCCAAATCGCCCTTAGAATCCACATACTTCAAAAGCCAGGATTTTCCAATTTAGAACCTGTGAATGATTCCAAACCTCTTGGAAAGCAATGCAGCAATGTGAATCAGTATTGTCAAGATGACCATATCCTCTGGCCTAGAAATTCTTCCCCAGGAATTTATCCCAGGAAAGTAATTCAACTGAAGCAAAGAGCTACACACTACAAAAATGTTCATATCTAGATTATCGACGATAGTGAAACCTGGAATAGTGTATGCTAATGGAATATCTATAAGGATACTAGACAGCAACAAAAGATAATTAGGATAATCATAAACAACATAACATTTTATAAGATAATGTTGGATAAAAATGGCTGCATGCAAACAGTTTCACTCTACAACTGCATTGGAATATATGCATTGGAATATGTATGCATTTGAAAAGTAATAGCAAGCTCTGTTACAGAAGTGGGAGCATGTTCTGTTACAATGGTAAGTAGAATTTTTTTTAACATTTAACATGGTAACATTGTATTTTCAACTAAAAAAAAAAAAGGTCCTATAAAGCAAAAGCCAAAATCTTCACAAATAAGCATTATACTACCAATAATAAATAACATATATTCACAACTTATTCTGTGTTAGGCACTGTTTTAAGCCCTTTCGTGGCTACTACCTGTATTTCATAACATCTATGAGGTGGATACTGTTATTGCCATTTTACAAGTGAGAACACTGAGGCACAGAGAGGATAACAACTTTCTTAAATCAAATACCACAGTGTGACAGAAAGAAACATTCCTTGTGCCATTTCTACGGGTCATCCACCTGCTAAAATTTTTATGTCTGCTTAGACAGACATGATGAAATCCTTAGCAGAAGCCTCATGGGTAGTGAGCTTCAAAAGGAATTCCAGAGGCCTTTCACGTTGCATATACAACCAGGTTTTCCCCCCCACTCGCCAAACTGGAATCTAGGAGGTAGAGAAAGACAGAGGCTAAAGACCAGCAGGCCCAGCCCACTCAAATTTCAGAAAGACAACAGAGACCAAAGGAGTTAGGACTTGCCTAAAATGATGTAATGAATTAGAAAAAGAATAAAGACCAGGGCTCGGAATCCTCACTCCAGCAGCCTTCAAGGCTTGCTCCTACCCTCTGCAGACCAAGAAATCCCTCTCTGCAGCTCTCTTCCCTTTCAACTGCCTCCCTTTGATCCCTCAGTCCAGCTACCCTCAGACTTCCTCTGTCCATAACAGTCCAAACTGCACCACCTTCTCTTTCTTTTATCATCTTCAGCTCACTCTGCCTCCATTTCCTTTCCTCTCCTGCCCTGCTGGTAAAGGTGTGCAACTTTTGGAATTTCAGCTTTAGTATTCTTTCCACATGACAGCAAGTAGAGGAAATCGCAGGTTACTTTTAGCAGTAGACTCCTGCCCTTCCAATAAGGGAGACTGTTCAAACATACTGAGAGACAGAGATGCTAAAATCAACGTCTGGAAGAGAGGTCCTTCATTCTGACTCTGGCCCTGGCCCAGACCACCCATTTGGCTCCCTGCACCTCCTCAGTACCCTCAAAGCACCCAGGCTTCCTCTCTCTGACCACACCATATTGCCAGAGTCTATCTACTACTACTAAGGGACTGCCCAAGAGTGGGGGCCTCTCTTGTTCATGTCTATCTCTCACACTTCATATAGTGTAGTTACCAATAAAAGTTTGCTGAATGAGGAAATGAGTCCCTGTTCATTCTCTTCCTGGGGGGAGGGGGTCTCTCCTGACTTTGGTGTGAAGACTCAATTCTACCTATTCTTGGGCAGGCAGGGACTCTGCCCAGAGTACTCCTCTAAATGTCAGGCGCTACCCAACACCTTAATACCACATCCCCACAATCCCATAACGCAAATACCAGCTTCCCTAGGCCGCACCCTGAACTCCACATCCTTTCCTGTTTCTTTTTTTGTTGTTGATTTTTTTCAAGCTGGCAGTGTCCTGCAACACCAATGACAGCTCTGCGGTTTCAGGATGTCAAAGGCAAAAGGCCATTATGCAAAACAGGAAGAAACTTTGAAAGAAAAAAACTTAAGGCATTTTTAGAATATACTCTGTCATGGGGCCAAGCAATGATTGAATCCCCTGCCAGGGACCCTCCCCATGACCTCTAGGCCCCCGTGGTGGGGCAGGAAGGAGCCTGACCTCACACTGTATCCGTCACACTGCTGACATAATCCTGCCCCTTCCCTCAGTGCAACCTCGCCCTAGCACTCCAGGCTTTGTGCCAAATGACCCCGGCAGACAAAACTGCTCCTCAGAGAGAATTTATCTCCACTGAGGACATTCTAAAGGGAGTAACTTCAAAGTATACTCCTTGGGAATAGCCTGGCACACTGGCCTGAGGCTTTATTGATCTAACCCACCTGAATCAGCCCCAACTGAGAACCAGGTTCTGCCTCTCCCTAAGAGAGCTTCTCCCTAAGAGAATTCCTAGAAACCTAAAGTTTCTCACTATGGCTCCTCCCTAGATCTCAGGACCACCTGGAGGTGGGAGAGCTGTGCTATATGTTTCAGAATCTGATTTGCAAGCTTGCTCCCACCTTCCTGTGCGTCACATCTCAATGATGTCAACAGCACTGGTTTAGCTAGCTGTTGTTCACCCACAACCACAGCCCCAGAGCCACAGTAGTCCACAGAAGTCCAGCACAGGGACTTAGCTGCTAAAGAAACAAATGGAGAAGTTACTGAGAAAGCATCACCCCCACCGATTCTGTTCACAGCAGATTTCTGCTCAGCCAGATCCTAAGAGCCTATCCTGCAGCCTGGCCCTTTGCCCCTGCCCCCAGGCACTTCCTGGACCTAGTTTCTTTTTTAATCAGAATTCTAGACACATTGTTCAGCAATAAGTGATACTCATCTGCCAGCACTAAGCAAATCTGGAATTTCCAATGAGTCTATCCTTTTGTAAGACTGGCTTGAAAATCTAGCCCTTCTCAAAAAACATTCAACACTTTTTTTCCTTTTTTAGAAAGCTCTCCTACAGAAACCATCCAAAAAGTACATAAAGCTTTCTGCACAAGCATCACTACATCACTAAGAAAAAACAAAAACTATATATGTATATGTGTGTGTTCAGCAACAGTTGAATGATTTTTTTAAGTTATGGCATATTCAGCTGACAGACTATGATACTGCCTTTGTGATTTTTAAAGGTATAGGGTCAAGTCTGTGACAGAATCTTAAATGAAAAATGCTGAACACCAGGCTATCTACATGAATCTATGTCAATCTATCTGTTCATCTATAAAGACAACAGCTATAACACTGGGTGTGGTGACTGACACCTATAATCCCAGCGCTTTGGGAGGCCAAGGCAGGTGAATCACTTGAGCTCTGGAGTTCGAGACCAGCCTAGGCAACATGGCAAAACCCCATCTCTACAAAAAATACAAAAATTAGTCAGGCATGGCGGTGTGCACCTGTGGTCCCAGCAACTCGGGAGACTGAAGTGGGAGAATCGCTTAGCCCGAGAGGTCGAGGCTGCAGTGAGCCGTGATCACTGCACTCCAGCCTGGGTGACAGAGCAAAAACCCTGTCTCAAAAAGAAAAAGAAAAAAAAATATATCAGCTATATTCTTAAACATGAAAAAGACTAGTAGGAAATATGCCGGTATGTTTCTTTTGGGTGATAGGAATTTGGGTGTGCTTTTATATCTCTTTCAACTTTTCAAATTATTTTCAATGAGCCTGCATTACTTTTTACTTTTAAAATGAAGGAAGAGATTATCCCCCCTCAAAAGGCAAAAGCAAAGACCCATACCCCTATCCCTATCCCCAACATCTCTGTGAGGCAAGTCATTCTCTCTCTCTCTCTCTCTCTCTCTGCCTGGGCTTTGTGAGGGGCTCTGGAGAAGCAGCGGGTGTGGGGAGTGGATAGAGAAGCAGCTACATAACACACCCAGACCAGACTTTAAAATCACTGCCAAAGAATTCAGCAACAGCCAATTATATAGCCCCTGGCCTTCATTTGTGCAGGGAAGGGGCGGGCTGAGGCCAAGCCGCAAAGTGGAACCTGAAGCACTGAGTGTGTGACTCACCCCTCTGTCTTCTAAGGACAAATCCCTTTAGGCCACATTCACCCAGAACCAGCTCCCCACTAAACCCTGTCCCCCACCCCCAAGCCCCACTCTCCAACCTGGAGGTCTCTGACTTACAGAACAATATCCTGAGATCACTCCTTGAGCTAGTGACCGCCTCAGCTCACCCGGCAATGGCCCAGATCAACACAGAGGCCCCTACAACTCAGGTCTCAGGTCTCTACAATCTTAATCGCAGTCTGGCTCCCAGGAACCCCTACCAAGTTTAGGGACAGGAGGGACCCTGTGAGTCTAATCCCATGCCTTGTTAATTCCCCTAGGAGCCAGGGTCTGGCTGGCTGGCCTTACAGTGACCTCACTGCCCAGGGACCACACCAGTCTATACCAAAGCCAAATGTAAAACTGTCACCATGCCAGGCCCTCAAAGGATTTAAGCTTCAAGGGCAGACCATTTGTCCTAAAACAACTGGATTGCTGCTCCACTGGACAAGAAAAACTGGAATTTCCAGGTAGATGTGGGTTCAAGCAGAATTCCAGTCTCTGCTTCTTCATAGTAAGAGCAGAGAACAAAGAGTAAGAAACAAGGTACAGGAGGCACTGGGTAAACAGATAGCAGGGAAATCAGCAGGTATGACTACTGAATAAACCTCTTTCACAAACACACACCCATAGCCCAGCTGAGTGCAAAGGGGATGAGCCTGCCGGCCCTGTTCCTTAAGTCTGGATGGTCCCTAGGGTGGAATCTGTGGAAAGCTTGGACTGCCTTGCTATTAACTGCCCCATAATTCCCAACCCATAAATTAGCTTAGTCCCAGCCTGGAAATCCCTACCCTGCTGCTACCCAAAGACCATAATACCCAGTGATATCTCATTATAATCATTATAAAGCAGCAAGTTAAAGATTACTCAGCAGAACTAATGCATAGCTTCAGAAATTAGAGGAAAATTTTCACACAACCAAATAAAACCAGGGCTGGAGAATTTTGATATGAACTTGGAGTTTCTGAAAGAAGAAAGGAAGAAATGAAGGAGGGAGGGGAGTGATAGGGAAGGGGATAAATACACACTTTGGTTCCCCTAGATGACCTCAGCACTGTTCAATTATGCCTCCCCTGCCTAAATTAAGAGTTCCTGAAGAGGAGGCACTTTGTTTTCTTCTTTGTAGCTCTAGTGCCCAGCATAATACAGGAACACTGCTGGAACTGAAGGAATGAAGTTATCAGATGCCTTAGCCGTCACGGATATCCATACAAGATCACCATACAAGACCCTTCAGATGGACCAAAAGACACACCTTGCAGGGATCTTCTGAAACGCTAGGGCATATCAGGTCACCCCTGAACCTGTGCACTAGCCAACTATTGAATAGTAACCTCCAGGAAGAGCACTAGACAATCCCATCGTGGAATGCTACAGTTCTAAGAAGCTGCAGTTTAAGTCCAATCCCACATTTGGCTCTTACTCCCCATTCCCCAAGGAGTTTCCATTTGGTTCATCAGAGGCTCCACTGCAGGTGGAGGCGGTGCCTTGTGTTTGCTCAAAGTCTGGAATGAATTACAGCAGCCAGGGATCACTCTTATTGCCATAGGCTGTGTCTAAGAAAGCGACCAAGTTTCACCATGAAAGCAAACCAAATAGTCATGGAGGGTATTTCTCAATCTCAGACTGTTAGACAAAGAATGTCTGTGTATACGTCAATACATTATTTTCCACGAAAAAAACAACAGGACAAAACTGGCTTACAAGACTAGTTATCTGAGCCTAAAGCTTCAACCCCCAGGATGAAGCTCCACCCCAAGCCGGAAGGTGATGAGGTTCCAAGGCTCATCCCCAAAAGGGCGAGAGAGAGTCCTTTCCCAAGCCTCAAAGTACACTCTGTCCTGGGCAGCCTGCTTGTGTCCACATGTGTGCATATGAGGGAGGGGGAAACGTGCTGGTAGAGAAACACCTGAGAGCTGAGAGCCCAGCAAAGACCAGCAAGTGCTAGGACACAAACCCTGGCAGACGCTCAGCAACAGCCCCCATAAAAACCAGGGAAACCGGCTCATGAGCAAGTGCTCCTCGGGTGCCCTGGCTACCTGTAGCTGCTGTTTGCTGGTCCAAGTGCCCATCTCTAGATCAGAGTCTTCCCTTTGAACAAATGAAGAGGATCTCCTCAAAGCATAGGTGGGCAAGAGCGGCCTCTGAGGCTTAAGCAGTCTAACACTCACTCCCCTACCCCCCTGAGGGGACTGTACCAACCATCCCAGGCCCCAGCTGAGCCCCCAGGCCAGCCTGCCTCTCTCACCAGTTCAGCTTCAGGTACTGCCCACCTCCCCCCATCACCCTACTCATCTTCAGACTGGCAGTGCCACAGCTGGTCAAGTCCCATTGAGCTGCTGCCCAATCTGAGCAGAGATAAACATGACGGGGGAAGAAGCCCAAGGCCACTGTTCCTCCCATCTCAGCAGGCAAACACCCAGGTGGCCAGAAAAGAGGGCCTCGCTGCAGGGTTATAAGTGGATGCCGCATGGCCCCGCTGAGGACCTGAGACAGGGTTAGGAAAGAAGGATAGCATAGCACCTGCAGGCCTAAACTACCTGGGAGGATTCCCTGGAGAAAGCTGTAGAATCCTCAGGAAAGGCCCCCCTTCCCACTGCATCACTCACTCCTGCAAGCCTCACATTAGCCCAGAGCAGGGTGCCCGGTGTGGGGGCGGGGGGTACTATGGCTCCAAACCTGCAGCCTGCCCCAGGTCACACTAACCCAAGTCTATCTGAAGACTATTCCAAGGCCCTGACAACTCCAACAGCAACCCATCAGCAGTCCAATCCGGTGCCTTATGTCCTCCAGGGAAGGGTTTGCCCATAACCCACACCTGTCAGCTGAGAGGAATCTCAGCATCTGGCCCAGACCCCTGGACACCAGAAAGTAAAGCCAAGTCGGGGAAAGGAACTGCAAGTAGTGAAAAGGCCACAACTCTAAACCCCACGGATGCTTTCTCCCACCAACCTCAAAACCACCCGCAAGGGCTTTGGCTGACACCTGCCCATGAACAGATGGGCTCGACTCCCCCCACCCACACACTCCCAAGGAGACTTTCAGCTTTCTCAAGGCCTCATAGCCAGGAACCTCCATTCTGAGAACTGTACCTAACCACCCAAACCTACAGACCCTATTAAAATGAAGAAAAGACCTCTCGGCCCCCATTTCTGGGGCTGCCTCAGCAGCAGCCTAAACGTCATGGTCTCTTGCATGTCACATGAAAGCAGCCAAAATAGAGAAGGCACTCTCTCCTCGTCCTCCAAAATGTTCTTTCTCAGGAAGTCCTTTCAAGTAGCCAATTATAGTCCATTTAGAAACACCAGTAACTGGTGACAAGCCGATCACTAGCAACACCATTACAAAACAAAACTAAGCAGAGGTATGGTCACGACCTTGTCTCTTACGCTTCTGAGAGAAGATGTGATACTCAAATACCAATGTAATCAACTTTGCGGTACTTTTGTTTAACTTGCTAATTATTTTTTCTTTCTGTGCAATATCCAGGCAACAACTAAAAACAAAAGCAAAAAACCTGGCCTTTTTCTGGCCTGGAGACTCAGTCTCTCTCCCCCTTCACTCTGCTGTGCAGAGCCATTTCTGTGGGAGTCTGAAAAAATGAAACTTTTTAAAGATCCTAAGCAAATATTATTACTATATTATTATTATACGGTGTATTGAGTGCCCGTATTTTTTTTTTTTTTTTTTTTTTTAGACAGTCTTGCTTCGTCGCCCAGGCTGGAGTGTACTGGCACAATCTTGACTCACTGCAACCTCTGCCTCCCAGGTTCAAGCAATTCTCCTGCCTCGGCCTCCTGAGTAGCTGCGATGCCACCACCCCTGGCTAACTTTTTTGTATTTTTGTAGAGATGGGATGGTGTTTCACCATATTGGCCAGGCTGGTCTCAAACTCCTAACCTCAAGTGATCCACTCCCCTCAGCCTCCCAAAGTGCTAGGATTACAGGCGTGAGCCACCATGCCCAGCCTGAGTGCCTGTATTTAATGTACACGATCTCATTTAGTCTTAAAAAAACCCCTGTAAGGTAATCATCGACAACCACATTTTACACAAGGAAGAGATTTTGAGAAACTCGATAGCATGTCTCAAGTCAGACACTTAGCAGCAAGGCAGAGTCCATTTCATTTTATGGGACTAGTCTGCTTCCCAGAATAATCATCAAATGCAAAGGAATTTAATTATCTGCTTAAAAAAACAAGCCCCCATTATTACCACAGTTCACGTCTGACCAATTCCAAGATGTTCTTCCCAAACTTGATATGAACACATTGACGCAATTACTGGCGAAATTGAGCAAGAGTATGTAGTAGCCAGGGCTCTGTGGGAAAGTGACAGAAAACTCCTATTGGCAGGATGTCATCCTGCCTGCCAGGGCCCCTCACTTACAACAATTATCTAAAACCTAGCATTAGAAATGAGAAACCACCTGTGTGGTAACCCTGGAAGCAACCTGTGGTTGCCTTGGGCCTGTGGGCCTGTAGGTTACAGGTCAAAGAGAAGTCCAGACTAGGCTCAGCCAGCTGCTATGAGGAATGCAAACTCACCTACTCAAGCTCTCTGCCTATGCTGAAACAGGCTAGAGGTCAGAGTTCAGATCATCTGGGCAAGATAATTGAGACTCAGGCTGCTACCGGAAGTACCAGAAATGGGCAACGTGGTGTTGACTGGTTATATTTTAGCCCTCTAACACCCAGAGTACACAAGCTCTCTGCCCCTGGGAGAGATCCCTGCTCACCTAGGTTTTGGGTACCCATACCAGGAGGAGGCTAGGGGGAAGGGCTCTCGGTCACGATCCACACAGAGGAAGAAATGAACACACAGTGACAATTTACTGAGGGCTTACCCTCATTAATTAAGCCCTTATTTACCATTGTTCACAATATCTTCCAAAACAACCCCTTGAAAGGGTGACCATTTATTATCCCAGAAGAGAAATATGAGGTTCAGAGAGAAGTCACTTGGCCCAAACGATCAGGAGAAAAACCCACTCAGGAGAGTGGCTCTATGGCAAGACACGTGAACCGAGAGGTCAGTCTCCTTCCCCACCGGGAGCCTCACGTCAGTCCCCAAAAGGGAGTGGATTACTCGAGGTCCCTACCAGAGTTCTCAGTGCAAGGCTGCTCGAAGCCCTAAGCAGACCCAAACTCCAAAACTTCCTGAGCCTCGGGCCACAGCAGGGAAGTCTCCAAGGCCTTCTCTGGTTCTGGGGCTAGAGGGGCCTCGGGACTTCCCTGTGCGGTCCCGGCCCCACGCCTCCAACAGGACTCCCCAGGGACCCACCTCGCAAACCTTCTCTCCCATCCAGTCCCAAGCCTCTGTCTGGGATTTAAAACTCTGATCCAGAAGAGGGAGGCTGGCTGTCGTAGAAGAGCCAGCCTGAGGGAATGTCTGGGGGACCCTGTCGGGGAAATCCGGGGGGGTCCCAATCCTCCGACTGGCGCCGACCCGAGTCCTTACCAAGCAGCGGGGACTCCTCAGGGCAGGCGGGCAGCGACAGTGCGGTGGTGTGGGGCACTGGGACCGAGGTCAAGTTGCTAGCGGGGCCAGGGCCAGAATCCACGACTGGGCTGGAGTCGCCACCCGGGCGCGGCTGGGAGGAGGCGCCTAGAGGAGGCGGCGGCCGGGCCCCTCCGGTCCGGAGCTCCCCGGAGGACTGCCCGATGGCGGCGGCACTGTTCGAGCCGCCCTGCAGCGGTGTGGAGACTCCGACCAGTTGGGGCAGGCGGCTCAGGTCGCGGCCAGCCAGGTAGTAAACGAGGGTGACGCCAAGGTGCAGAGCGCAGACGGCCACGAGCAGGCGGCAGGCCCGCTGTAGGGACGCGCCTGGCATCGCGGCGCTGCCGCTCAGGAGCGGCTCCCGAAGCCTCATCTTCCCGCCGCCGCTTTAAGAAGGGTGTGGGCTACAGGAGGGGAGGCGACCCGCCCGCGGGCCGCCCGCCAGGCGCTGCCCCACAGCGGCGACTAGGGGAGGGCCCGGAGCGGGGGCGGGCGAGCGGCTGAGAGCTGAGACTCCTCCAGCCAGCCAGACCTGGGAGCGGCGAGAAGCCGCCCGAGGCGCCGGCGGAGAGGGGAGGGGCGGGGCCCCGGCGAAGGCGGGGGCGGGGCCGGGCGCGGGGTTTTCTGGACGAGGGCGGGAAGGCGGGGCAGCCCGTGGCGGGATGGGCGCGCTGGGCGGGGCCTCGGGAGGGTGGGCAGCGGGCGGGGCGCCGTCGTGGGGTCCCCGGAGTATGACTGCAGCTCCGACGCTTGGCCGCGCACCGCCCTCTTCCTCCCGAGCCTTTGCGGCGGAGCTTCGGTCGCGTTGAGCCGCGCCTCCTCTTCCTCCTCCACGCTGCCCTCGACAGGCCGCGCCACTTCCTGGGGTGCGAAGGGACTCGGGTGCGAGCCTGGGCCTGCAGCGCGGCGGCGGAGAGAACGGAGAGGACAGCTGGCGGGTGGTTATCTGGAGTGGTTTGGGGCCGCGGCGGCGTTCTGGCCAGTGGGCCTTGGTGGGCTAGGAAGAGAGGCAGAAAAAGGTTACCCAGGAAACGGGCTTCGACGCCGGGCGAGGAGTGGCACGTTCGAAACCCCCTCCCTAACTCAGCCCGGCTGGACCCCGCTGCTTAACGGGGGGTCCTGCGGCAAAGAAAGTGGACGGGTTGCCACTTCTGTGCCTCCCCATCAGGTAGCCTGGGCTATAAGGGGCTCTCAGACCAGCTTGGTTCCAGATGTGTGTGTGGCGGGAGTCCTGTATACTTTGAAGAGGAGAGCAGCAAGAAGCCTCTAACTCCCAGGCCAGCGTGCAGGAGATCAGCCGGCGTTACAGTCTACACTGGGCTACCCACTGTCCCATGAAGTAGCAGTTCTCCCCATGTCGTAGAGTGGGGCCCCGGCAGATTAAGAAACTTTCCTAAGAGCCCACAGCTGGCAAGAGGCAGAATTCTGGCTCCGAAACCCATGTTTTCTACAGGTTTACCCTTTGTTGATTTGCAAGTAAGGGCTGAAGGCTGTGTGGGTGAGAGACTTAGGCACTGAAGCCACTTGACCTCGATTTGACCCAGAGGCCTCAGGCCCTGAGTGAGCAGAGACACCTCACCCCAGAGAAAGACTCATGGAGGTGCTGTCAGTAATGTGGATAGGGAAGTTGAGGGCTCTGGCAGCCAACCATCAGGGAATAACAGTAGCTACCTTATTTTGAGAGTTTGCTGTGTGCCAGTACTATCTGCCATGAAGTAGGTGGTGTTACGGTGTCCATTTCACAGATGAGAAAATAAGGCTTATGAGTTGACACTTTGGTTGTGATCATACAGAATCAACTTTCCTCACTTGACTTCCTGGACACCAGGTCCTTCTGATCTTCCTCACTTCACTGGCCATTTCTGTCTCCTCTCTGGACTTCTTCCCCAGTTGCTGAAGGCCCCAGCCATAGTCCATGATGTTCTTTTGTGTCTACACTTACTGCCTCGGAATGATTTATAATATCCAAATGCTGATCACTGATTTGTCTCCAGCCCAGATCTCTTCCCTGACCTCCAGATTCAACTGCTTATTTTACTGGCATCTCAAACACAATACATCTTGCCCTCAGCAACCTACTCCTTACACACCACTCCCGTTCTTACCTCCCTCAGAGAGTGATACTATTGTTTATTCAGTTCCCCAGAATCTAAAAGGTGTCCTTGATGTGCTTCTCTTGCTCTCAATGCCATTTGCAAGCCCTCAGCCAGCTTTGTCAGTGCTACCTTCAAAACATCAAAATTCACCACCAGCCAACTCTGATGTAACCATCCTCGATCAAGCCACCATCATCTTGCCCTGGGTTATATGGCAGCTACTAATTGGTCACCCTGCTTCCACCTCCTCCATTCCTCCTCCCTAGTCTGTTTTCCACAGAGCATCCAGGAAATCTTTGTAAGCATAAATCAGATCATGCCATTTTGTTCAGAACCAAATCCACAGAAACCCTGTTCAATCTGGTTCCTATTTCCCTCCCCACCCACATCTGTCACTCTACCATGCTGGACCTGCCTTAGCCACACTAGCCTGATAGCTATTCCTTGAACTTGCCATATTTCTTCCTGCCTCAGGGCCTTTGTACTTGCTGTTCATTTAGCCTGAAACACTTGTCCCCAATATTTCATTCAATTCAGGTCTCTTAAATGTCACCTTATGACAGAGACCTTTTCAGACTACCTTATGCAGAATGGCCTCCTGCCCAAATCTGCTTAAACTGCTTGAATTTTTTTTTTTTTTTTTTTGAGACAAAGTCTTGCTTTTGTCCCCCAGGTTGGAGTGCAATGGTGCAATCTCACCTCACTGCAACCTCTGCCTCCCGGGTTCAAGCGATTCTCCTGCCTCAGCCTCTTGAGTAGCTGGGATTACAGGTGCCTGCCATCACGCCGGGCTAATTTTTTGTGTTTTTAGTAGAGACGGATTTCACCATGTTGGCCAGGCTGGTTTCAAACTCCTGACCTCAGGTGATCCGCCCGCCTCGGCCTCCCAAAGTGCTGGGATTACAGGCGTGAGCCACCGCGCCCGGCCTTAACCTGCTTGATTTTTTTCAGAGTGGATATCAACTACCCAACATTATGCATTTATTTTCTGTTGTCTTGCCTCCCTCATTAGAAAATCAGCTTCATGAGAACAGGAAATTTCTCTCTTGTTCACTACTGTATCTTCAGCCCCTAGATTTTTTTTTTTTTTTTTTTGAGACGGAGTCTCACTCTGTCACCCAGGCTGGAGTGCAGTGGCGTGATCTTGGCTCACTGCAAGCTCTGCCTCCTGGGTTCACGCCATTCTCCTGCCTCAGCCTCCCAAGTAGCTGGGACTACAGGTGCCTGCCACCATGCCCGGCTAATTTGTTTGTATTTTTAGTAGAGATGGGGTTTCACCGTGTTATCCAGAATGGTCTCAATCTTTTGACCTCGTGATCTGCCTGCCTCGGCCTCCCAAAGTGCTGGGATTACAGTTGTGAGCCACCGTGCCCGGCCGATATTTGTTAAAATACTTTTTAAATACTGTGATCATCTTAATGATGTGGGAAGGAGAGAAGGGAAAAATTATTGCTAACTTAGTTTAGAACGTAAAGTGGAGTTCTCCAAGGAGTTGGTAAAGGTGAAGCTGACCCCAGCATCCTGTGTCTAGGGGTAAAGTCGGCCTGGCCAATGAGTGAGGGTGGGTCAGATTAGTCCTGCAACTGAAAATTAAGTGGAGGGGGAAATGGGGATGTGTCTTCCATTGGTATAGATGATAGCCAGGAGACAGGACTGCGGGGGTTATTAAGAATCACAGACCTGTCCCAGGACACACGTGGCCAGAAATCGAGGAAAAGGAACAACACTTGCTGATTGCCTATCCCTCAGGAACTTGCAGAGTCCACTGAGGCCTGAGCACTAGTCTCAGCTGCCCCTGATCCACAGGCACCTAGAAGCAGTCAATTACAAATAATACAGATGGCCCAGAAACCTTTGGGACAACATTGTCCAGCAGTCCAGACATTAACTGGTGCTAGTGAGACAGACCCAGGCAACCTTTCTCCCCACTGTCTCCAGCTCTTTTCCACTCTCTACTTCGTCAGGTGAAAAATTAATCCCATCCGGCGAGACAAATGCAGGAGGAAGTTGCAGTGCTGATTGGCCAAAAGCTGGCATGGGGGCTTGGCCGTTGGCCCATCCATGTGCTCATCTGCCCAGAATCACCAGCTCCCTGCTTCTCCCTGCAGCTGGCCTTCCTCTGCCCTCCTATGGCGCCCTCTTCTGCACCTGCCAGGTTACATTTCTGTTTTTACCCTCATGGATCAGAAGGGCATCAAATAGTGCCCGGCACATGGTAGACAGTTATTTCAGTCATCTATTGCAGCGTAACACCTACCCCAAAACTTACTGTTTTGAAGCAACAATTTCTCGCAGTTTTGCAGTTGGCTGGGCAGCTTTGCCTCACATGGTGTCAGCTGAGGCACTGGCACAGTTGGAAGTTCCAAAATGGCTTCACTCATGTGAATGGCAGTTGGGGCTGTCTGGGGGCTGGAAACTCAGAATGGGTTGGGTCATGGGGCCTTCATTCTCCACTTGGATCTCTCCACAAAGGACTCTCCATGTGGCTGCTTGGGTTTCCTCACAAACTAGAGGAAGCATTCCAAAAAGGAGCATTTCAAAAATACAGAAGATGGAGATCCCTGAAAGCCCAGCCTTAGCATCACTTCTAAAGCATTCTTTTGCTTAAAACAAGTTTATAGGGCAGGCCAGATTCAAGGGGAATAAAACTGGCTCGGCCTCTTGTTTTTACTTTTTTTTTTAGACAGGATCTTCCTTTATCAACCAGCCTGTAGTGCAGTGGTGTGATCATAGGTCACTATAACGTCAAACTCCTGGGCTCAAGTGATTCTCCTGCCTCAGCCTCCCGAGTAGCTGGGACTACCGGGATGCGCCTCCACGTCCAGCTAATTTTAAAATTTTTAGTAGAGATGAGATGTTGCGATATTGCTCAGGCTAGTCTCGAACTCCTGAGCTCACGCAGTCTTCCTGCTTTGGCCTCCCAAAGTGCTGAGATTACCAGCATGAGCCATTTCACCTGGCTGACTCCACCTCTTGATGGGAGGAGGGACAAAGAATTGTCAGGCACCTTTATTCCACAGTAGTTTGCCCAATGGCCACAGATTATTTAGATTCTTCTCACAGGTAAAATACATTAGTGTCTTCTTAAAATCCCCCAAAAGTTCAACTAATTAAGACTTCAGGTCCAAAGTATTGTCTAAATCAGATCCAGGTGTTACCGACCAAAGCGCAAAAGCACTCACTGCCCAATGTTCTAGAAACCAATACTGTGACACCTGGTTTTTGAGAAAAGAAAAGCTTTGTACTGCAGGTAGGCCAACAAGGAGATAGAAGAGTCCAGCTGAAATCTCCCTGTGGTGACTTTAGGTCTCCCTGGGCTGGCTCAAGTCTCCCTGGGCTGGCTTTAAGGTAGTGTTTTTATCAGAAAAATTTTGGGGGGTGGATTCTGAGATTAGTAAGTAACTGGTGGAAGGAAAGGGGAGGTCTGGAAAGTCCTCAGTCATGCACAATTATTTCTTCATGCCTCTTCACTGGTCACATGTGCAATTCAGGGGGATTTAGAATGAAACGTGGTGGAAATTTGGGTTGTGACACCAGAAAGCTCTTTCTGTGAACAGCCCAGTTGCCCTGTTTGTTCCAACTGATTTCAGCCAGTTCTTTTATCTCAAGCAGAGGGAGTTTTGGCATTTCAGCACATTGTTTCTTTTCTTATCTGCCATCCTGCAAACTCAGGAATTTCTGTTAGTCATTGTTTTCTTTAACTCTTTGGGACACAGTTTCACAGGTATATTCCTCAGGTTCAGGGATGGGAGATACGGATAGCTGGGTGCAGTGGCTCACGCCTTTAATCCCAGTGCTTTGGAAGGTTGAGGTGGGAGGACCACTTGAGCCCAAGAGTCTGAGACCAGCCTGGGTAACATCTCTAAAAAATAAAGATAAAAGAGGGACCTGTGGATTATAAAGACAAATTACCTCATTCCTTTTTTTTTTCTCCCTTTTCCTGAGAAATTCAGTTAAAAAGTCACTAGGTAGGGTTGAGCAACATAAGAGTCCAAACAGCATAGACAGGGTGTCAAAGCCCAACCAGGATAGGGAGGGGTAAGGGTGGGGGTGGGGAGGATAGCAGCCCAGCAAAGAGGGTCAAAGCCCAGGAGAGCAAAAAGGGCCTCAGGACCTGAGCATGGTAGGAAGTCTCCTGTGAAGTAGGGCAACCGAGTACAGGGTGTTGAAGCCAAGATGTGATGAAGAGAGTGTTGAACACAGCAACACTGATTAAAAAGTAACCATATGGTCGGGCATGGTGGCTCACGCCTGTAAACCCAGCACTTTGGGAGTCCAAGGCGGGCAGATCACCTGAGGTCAGCAGTTAGAGACCAGCCTGGCCAACGTGTTGAAACCCCATCTCTACCAAAAATACAAAAAGTAGCTGGGCTTAGTGGCACATGCCTGTAATCCACAGCTACTCGGGAGGCTGAGGCAGGAGAATCACTTGAACCTGGGAGGCAGAGGTTGCAGTGAGCCGTGATCGGGCCATTGCACTCCAGCCTGGTCTACAGAACGAGACTCCGTCTCAAAAAAAAAAGCAAAAAAAAAAAAAGCAACTATATATAGATGAGAGTTACCCAAGTTTCTGACAGTCAGAGGAGTTACAAATATAGACAGGGAGAAAACTAAAATGAATCCTTTGATACATTATTTAAATTTGAGAAATTGGTGTGAATTCATTATTTTCAATATAGTGATAGATGAAATAAGAATGGTGTGTGTGTGTGTGTGTGTGTGTGTGTGTGTGTGTGTGTATTGTCTGGGAGCAGAAATTTCCCAAGGCCATGAGCACATCTAGCAGCCAAGTCTTGGTTTCTAAACACCATTCTCCAATAAAAGGACCTAGGTATTCTTGGAGAAAAGGCTGATTGCTGATTCCAGGGACTGGCTAGGAATATTACAAGATGAACCTGGAAACTCTTGTGTCAGAAAGTGAGGAAGAACTCAAAGAATGATAAGATTATGTCAAAAAGACACAGAAATCAGTTTGAAGGGGCTCCCATTGGCCAAATATGGAAAAATTTGAGAATGAAAATAAATATTGATAGAAACTATTACCAGTTGAACAAAATAAACTATGAGTCCATAATGATATAAATAAATGGAATTTGATGAGTAGCAATATATTTACCTAATTTCAAATACTGCCTTAAGAAATGCTAACAATTTTAATGGGAAACATTAGAGAAATCCAAATTGTGAGACATTCTAGAAAATAACCATCCTGAAATCTTCCAGAATGTCAAGAAAATGTTCTCATCACAATTGAAGGAAAATAAAGAGAAATAACTAACCATCCTTTTCTTGGGGTTGCACTACTGTCCAAAGAGCATGTAGTGAGGGCAGTACTGCTAACGTCTACACAACACACCCACCTCAACTAGAGCTTTGCTTTAGCTTGGTGTAATTTTTGGAAAAATGAAAAACTGAAGGAAAAAAACAATGCAACATGTGATTCTAAAGTGGATCCTCCTATTATAAAGAATATTCTCTGGGCATGGTGGCTCACATCTGTAATCCTAGCACTTTGGGAGGCTGAGGCAGGCAGATCACCTGAGGTTAGGGGTTCAAGACCAGCCTGGCCAACACGGCGAAACCCCATCTCTACTGAAAATACAAAAATTAGCTGGGCATGGTGGCACATGCCTGTAATCCCAGCTACTCAGGAGGCTGAGGCAGGAGAATCGCTTAAACCTGGGAGGTGGAGGTTGCGGTGAGCGGAGATCGTGCCACTGCCCTCCAGCCTGGGTGACAGAGTGAGACTCCGTCTCAAAATTACATGTATATCTTATTGGGGGCCAGAAGCAGTGGCTCATGCCTGTAAATCCCAACACTTTGGGAGGCCAAGACAGGCAGATCACTTGAGGCCAGGAGTTCAAGACCAGCCTGGACAATATGGTGAAACCCCGTCTCTAGTAAAAATACAAAAATTAGCTGGGCATGGTGGTGTGCACCTGTAATCCCAGCTACTTGGGAAGCTGAGGCAGGAGAATCGCTTGAACCTGGGAGGTAGAGGTTGCAGTGAGCCAAGATCACGCCACTGCACTCTATAGCCTGGGCGACAGAGCAAGACTCTGTCTTAAAAAAAAAAAAAAAAAAAAAAAAAAAAAAAAATATATATATATATATATATATATATATATAAAATTGGAGGCCTAGTGTGGTGGCTCATGCCTATAATCCCAGCACTTTGGGAGGCCAAGGCAGGAAGGCTGCTTGAGGCCAGAAGTTTGATACTAGCCTGGGTAACATAGCAAGACCCCTGTCTCTATGAAAAATTTTAAAAATTATCTGGACATGGTGGTGCATACCTGTAGTCCTAGCTACTTGGAAGGCTGAGGCAGGGGATCATTTGAGCCCAGGAGTTTGAAGTTATAGTAAGCTATGATCAAGCCACTGTACTCCAGCCTGAATGACAGTAAGACCCTGTCACTAAAAAAATTAAAAATTAAAAAAAAGAATATTATTGGGATGACCAGTGAAACTTGGATGGGGACTAAGCATAAAATGATAATAATGTAGCCATGTTAACTTCCTGTTTTGATGATTATATTGTGGTTACACTGGAAATATACACAAAAGGGTTTTGGAGTAATAGGGCATCATATCGGAAATTTACTCTCAAATACCATGATGTGCCACGTAACAACATTTCAGTCAACAATGGACAGCATATAGGATGATGGGTCCATAAGATTATAATAAAGCTGCCCTGTACATGTATACTATTTTTTATATTTTACAGTGTATTATTACTGTACCTTTTCTATGTTTAGATATATTTAGTTATACACTTATCATTGTGTTATAATTGCCTACAGTATTCAGTACAGTAACATGTTGTGCAGGTTTGTAGCCTAGGAGCAATAGGCCATACCATATAACCTAGATGTGTAGTGGGCTGTACCATCTGGATTTAGACTCACTCTTTGATGTTTGCACAATAACAAAATTGACTATCGACACATTTCTCAGAAAGAATCCCCATGATTAAGCAACGTATGACTGTAGTCTAAACAAATTATTTGTACTAAACTCGCAACTTTTACTTAAGTGACTTTTCCCCCACACGTCTAACATATAATGGAAATACAAGGACAAGAAAACCACAATAGACACTCCCATTTAGAATAGGAGATTAATAAGAGGCACATAACAGCCATTAGCAAATGTGAGAACTAACCATGCACTTGTCACCAGCTCCCCCTGCTCCAGGGGCAGGGAATGTGATTCTCTGTGGCTCTTATCTCTACCCTTGGATGGAGCTCTTGGCTCCATCCTTTGAGTCATTCCTCCTTTTCCAAAAGAAATAGGCTTTGTTCACAGTCCGGTAACTTGTTCAAGATGCTTCACTGGGTACCCGGTGTGCTCTTTTCATGTTGAACTATCTTTGTCTGTTTTAGCTCAAGCCACTACTGCTTACACTGGTACAATTCTTGTAGGGGAAAAAACTGTGGACTTTCCGTTAATTTTATTTTTACTCAAACCATACCCCCAAATCTCAAGATAAGCCCTTCCCTCCTTTAGGCTGTGAATTACAGTGCTGTGAACCAAAACTTTAAGACTCTTAGAAGCACTTTAGTCTACATGAGAGGTTTAGGAGGCGCTGTTTTAAGGCTTTCTGAGATCTCAACAGTCTTACAACCATAGAAAAGAACAAAATTATGTCCTTTGCAGCAACATAGATGCAGCTGGAGGCCATTATCCTAAGCAAATTAATGCAGGAACAGAAAACCAAGTACCACATGTTCTCACCGATAAGTGGGAGCTAGACATTGAGTACACTCGGCACAAAGGTGGGAACAGTAGACACTGGGGACTCCAGCAGAGGTGGAGGGACAAGAGTTGAAAAACTGCCCATCAGGTACTACCTGCTGGGTGATAGGATCATTAGAAGCCCAAACCTCAGCATCATGCAATATACTCATATAACAAACCTGTACACGTACCCCCAAATCTAACATTTTTTTTTAAATTGCTACCCATATATTACTATATGCCAATAATATACTAATAGAGTACAAAAAATAACTAATATAACATTTGAGAAACGGCAACAAAAAAGTCTTACAGCCACATCCGTGACCTTAAGGCCCCATTTTACGGGGAAGGTCTTAGAATTAATATTCCCTCTAGGTTTTAATTTACTTTGAGCATTTCTTTTTTCTGGCTGTATATAATGCCCTGGGCCCTCTATAGTTTCTCAAAATTTTGCTTGAAACAAAATAGTTTCTTCTTCCTGTACTTTTTCACAGGCAGCCAAAGGGAGTAAGTTGGCATTTTGAACATTTTGCCTAGAAATCTCCATACCAAGGCGGCAAGTTCAATTATTTTCTCTTATCCATGTTACTACATGTTACTACTATGTCACTTAGGTCCTGAATAATTTCCCAACAACTTCCTCGCTGTGTTGTCATCCTCCTTCCTACCCTTCAGGACTCCGCAAGCTTCCTTATTCCAAAGTCAATGTTATATGTTTTAGATTTTTGTTATGGAAGCTCCCCACTTCTGGGTGTTAATTTGTTTTAATTATCTATTGCAGGGGTTGGGAAACTAGTTTCCATGGCCAAACCTAGCCCACCGTCTGTTTTGGTAAGTGAAAATGTATTAGAACTCGGCCATGTTCTTTTGTTTGTGTATTTTCTATGGTTGTTTTCATACTATGATGGCAAAGTTAAGTAGTAGCAACAGAGATCATCTGGCCTGCAAGACCTAAAATATTGACTATCTGATCTTTTACAGAAAGTTTGCCAATGCCTGATTTATTGCTATGCAAAACAAACAAACAAAAAAAACTACCCAAAATGAATCTCTTAAAACAACAATTTATTATTTCTTACAGTTATGTGCATTAACCATTAACCCAGTGGTTTTCTGCTTCACAGAGTGTTGAGTGGGGTGGTAGAATGTCTGGAGGTACAAATGACCTTACTCACATGGCTGGAAGTTGGTGCTAGTTGCCAACTGGGAGCTCAGCTGGAACTGTTAGCCAGGTGTCTCACTTCTCCTCCTCCAGGTGGGCCCCCACAGAGTTGCTTGGGCCTCTTCATAGCATTGCAGCTGGGTTCTCAGAAGGAGCATTCTGAATGCATAGGAGGAAACAGAAGACTTTTTTTTTTTTTTTTTTTTTGAGACAGGGTCTTGCTCTGTTACCCAGGCTGGAGTGTACTGGTGTGTGATCTTGGCTCACTGCAACCTCCACCTCTTGGGCTCAGGTGATCCTCCCAACTCAGCCTCCCGAGTAGTTGGAACTACAGGTGTGCGCCACCATTCCCAGCTAATTTTTGTATTTTTAGTAGATATGGGGTTTTGCCATGTTGCCCAGGCTGGTCTCAAACTCCTGGGGTCAAGCTTTCTACCCACCTCAGCCTCCCAAAGTGCTGGGATTACAGGCGTGAGCCATTGTGCCTGGCCCAGAAGATCTCTTCAGGCCAAGGCTCAGAAGTTATACAGTGATACATAGCTACATTCTATTGGTCCACATAAGTCACAGGACTAACCTAGATTCAAGGGGAGAGGAAATAGACTTCACAAATTGATAAGAGATGTAGGAAAGAATTTGTGGCCATCTTCAATCTGTCACAACACAAATAAACTGCGTGTCAGGATGCTATTACCATCTATATTTTGTTCTGAGTGCTCAACTATACTTGTTCTCATGACCCGAAGTGGGTCTGCTTCCTCCTCTCACCCCTTTATCCCAACCTGTACACAGGTGCCATGGCACTGGGTCCAGGCCCTGCTCAGTGACTTTGGTCATCCATTTCCAGCAACATCTATACCCAAGACAGGATATGTCTACAGTCTGTTGGGATAGGTTATTTGCCTCAAGTGCTGCTTTCTCAGATCCTAGAAAGGCCAACAGAAGCCTGGCAACTGCCTTCAATTGCTGTATCTTAAAATTGTTGGAATATCCCATAACTAATTGCTAATTAGTTATTGCCATAATAATGCTGCTTAGCAAATAACGACCAAATTGAAGTGCCATACAATAATAAAGCATGTATTTCTCTCTCAGGTGTCCATGGATTGGCGGGGACAGCTCTGCTTAAGGATGTAGTAGCTCTGCAGGTTGGCTAGGTTAGTCTATGGCATGTGTCTCTATTTCTTCTGTGATGCCCACCAAGGGCATGTTTTTCACATGGCACAAGATGGGTGAACAAAAAGCCCCAATATCTCATAAAGCCTGTGGTTGGAATGGTCACTTCCACCCACATTCTATGAGCCAAAACAAGTTGATTGGCCAACCCAACATTATCATATTCTGCCTCTAGTGGGAGAAACTTCAAAGTCACATGACAAAGGGACTGGATATAGGGAGTGGTGAAGAATTGGGAATAATGCAACCCTCCATGAATTTTTCTTTTTCTGGAGCTAGAATGGTGGCTGGGAATTGTACTCCAGAACAGCTCACAATTTGTAATAAATCTGGTCTCTTTTCCTCCAGTTTCCTGTTCTTCCCAACCTGCGCTATGGACTTCATCAGATTTCAGCATCAGAGAGAATATGGAAGGACATCGACCCTAACTTCATCCAGTGAGGATTTCCACACACCATACACTCTCTGAGAGTTCTCTTGGCTTTGTGTGCACACCTCCAGTGACAGGGAGCTCGCTATGTCATGAGGCAGCCTGCTCCCTTGTGGCTATCACTGAACCAACTATTAAGCCTTCTTATACAAACAGTCCCTGACTTACTGTTAGACTTACAACTTTTTGATTTTACAGTGGTGCAAAAGCAATATGCATTCCATAGAAACTGTATTTCAAATTTTGAATTTTGATCTTTTCCAGGCTAGCAACATATGAAGACCAACCTTCTATTTTTAAAATAGGCTTTGTGTTAGATGCTTTTGCCCAACTATAGGTTAATGTAAATGTTCTGAGAATATTTGAGGAAGGCTAGGCTAAACTGTGATCTTTGGGAGCTTAGATATGTTAAGTGCATTTTCAACTTACAATATTTTCAACTTACGATGAGTTTATTGGGATGAAGCCCGTTGTAAGTAAAGGAGCATCTGCATTAAGCTAAAATCCATGTCTATAACTTCCTCAGTAATATCAAGTTTGTTCCTTGGAGCCAGAGAATAAACTGAATCCTTTTCCACGTGATGGTCTTTCTGTTGTTTAAAGAGATCAGCCATGTACCTTCTCCCAACCTGAAGACAACTCCTCACCAGGCTACCTATCAATTCTACCTCTTTTTTTAAGAGATGGGGTCTCACTATGTTGCCCAGCCTGGTCTTGAACTCTGGGCTCAAGTGATCCTCCCACCTCAGCCTTCCGAGTAGCCAGGATTACAGGCACACACCACCATGCCCAGCTCCATTTCCATTGTTCTTCATGCTTCCTTATTGAGTTCCTTCCCTGTCCCGATTATTCGTCTTTGATTGGGCTTTGACTACCTGGGCATTTAGTAGGGTCCATAACTGAATGCAGCATTCCAGCCGGGGTCTAAGCAACAGAATAGAGCAGGACCATCATCTCCGCAATTTCCAATATCATACTTTCATCAATGTCTTCCGAAACAACATTCACTTTTTTATGTTCATGTTAAACTAAAAGACAGGGCTGAAGGCAGCATCCTGGAACAGTGGAAACATTCCTATAAGTTGACTTGAATCCTTTAAATAAAGTCCATGTACCAACCAGAGTTTTTGACTATTAAAACAGTCAATTATAACACTGCTCTGCCGTGGCCACCATTGCCCATGATTATTTAACACCACTGCTACAGGACCGTTCATGCTGCTGCTGCCTCCATGAATAATTTCGACACCATTCCTGCCTCTTAGCGTCACTCCTAAGAATTCAGAGTCTGCAGTGGGAATGACCGAGCCAATTCACATGCTTGAGCCCTAGCTGCTAGGTAGGGGAGGAACGAATCTTCCCCTTTCTGCCTCCATGGTGGGAGCTAGGGCATTGAGCCCTCCAGTACTATATACACTGGAAAATTTTCCAAAATAAGATGGGGGATTGCCTGTTGAGTGACAAGTATAATGGCAAAGGTTCATTCCAGTCATTTAAAAAAGTTCAATTTCCCTTTAATTGTACTATCATCCAACCCATATTTTCCTTTTTAGTCACAGGAATAACATGCCATAGATTGTTAAAGGCCGACCCAGTTTGCCAACAGACTATCAAATGCAGCACTGTGATCTGGCAGTTTAGGGACCTGTTAAAAAAAGAAATGTGATAGTCTTTGCTCTGGCTTGTTCTGAGAAATCTCCACTTCCTTTACATCTTTAAAAGTCTATCCTTGGCCAGGCACAATGGCTCACGCCTGTAATCTCAGCACTTCAAGAGGCTGAGGCAGGAGCATTGCTTGAGCCCAGGAGTTCAAGATTAGCCTGGGCAACATAGTGAGACCTTGTCTCTATTAAAAATAAAAAAAATTAGCCAGGCGTGGTGGTGGTATGTGTCTGTAGTCACAACTACTCATGAGGCTGAGGTGAGAGGATTGCCTAAGCCCAGGAGGTTGAGGTGGCAGTGAGATGTGATTGCACCACTGCATTCCAGCCTGGGCAACAGAGCAAGACCCTGTCTTACACACACACACACACACACACACACACACACACACAAACTATTCTTAGATAAGAGTGTAGTTTGCAGAATCAACGTCTTCCTGTAATGGACAGGTATTGATTTTTTGTGCCTCCTCTTCAACATTACTCCTTCTGTTAGAGACTCCCACTCTTCCCTATGTGGTTGGGACAGGCTAACTACGGGGTCGCTATGGCCTGGGTGACTTATATCTGGCCAATCAGAGCACTATACCCCTCTGGCCACAGTTGATTTGTTCAAGGATCAACATGTGGCCCAAGAAGGACTAATGAGCAATGTCCCTTCTTCTCCCAGGACTTCTGCTGCAAATGTTGAGTAAAAGGCTTTTCCTTTCCTCTGGAATGGCCAGTCTGGAGTAGCAAGGGTGCTGTATTAGTTTCCAAGGACTCCTCTAACAAATTATCCAGACTTGGTGGCTTCAAACAACAGAAATTGATTCTCTTACAGTTCTGGAGGCTAAAAGTCCAAAATATCAAGGTGTCAGCAGGGACAGGCTTCTTCTTCTTTTTCTTTTCTTTCTTTTTTTTTTTTTTTAGATAGGGTTTCACTCTGTCACCCTTCCTAGTAGCTGGGACCACAGGCATATGCCACCATGCCCAGCTAATTTAAAAAAATTTTTTTTTGTGGAGACAAGGTCTCACTCTGTTGCCCAGGCTGGATACGCTCCTTCTGAAAACTCTAAGAAAGAATTCTTTCTTGCCTCTTCTAGCTTCTGGTGGCTCGCAGCCATCCTTGGCATTCCTTGGCTTGTAGCAGCATCATTCTATTCTCTGCCCTCATCTTCACATGGCCTTCTCTCTGCCTATGATTTTCTCCTGTTGATGTGTCCTCTCCTCTTATAAGGAAACCAGTCATTGGACTTGGGCTCACCCTAATCCAGTATGACCCCATCTTGGCTTAACTAATTGCATCTGCAAAGACTATTTCCAAATAAGCTCAATTCTGAGGTTTCGGATAGAAATGAATTTTGGAGGTACGCTGTCCATCTCATTACAGCCATTATATGGAAAGAGCCTATCTGAGAAATAAGCCAAAAAGGAAGCTAGAGGGTTACGCCCTGGTATGCTGTATCAGACTCCCCCTGGACTGACCAGTTATGTAACCTGGTGAATTACTCCTCCCTTTTTTCCCCCCATAAGCTGATTTGAAGTAACAGAAGGAAACTGATTACCACTCCTCCTTTTGCAAAATTAAAAAATCATTTACACAGGACTAATGTTCCAAACTTCTCCCCGCTATATTCATCCTCCAAAAGTCTCTGACAAGGATTGAGCAATTTCATTTGGAAATTCTCTTAGTGCCTTGGATTTACTTCATTTGGCTAGGAAACTAACTTATTTTGACAAGCGAGATGATCTCTTACAATGTCTTCAGCCATTCCTTATAATTTTTATTGTGGAAAATTTTAAAAATATACAAAAATAGAGAAAATAGTGTAAGTCTCCAAGTTCCCATCACCCCACTTAAAAAAAAAATCAACATTTAGCCATGTTTATTTCATCTATACCCCCAACTTCCCTCCACCTCCTGCAGGATTAAAGGAAAATTCAGATAACATGTACAGTAGTACCCGCTTATCCATCGCTTTCCGATGTCTCAGTTACTGGAGGTTAACCGTGGCCTAAAAATATTAAATGGAAAATTTCAGAAATAAAAAATTCATAAGTTTTAAATTGCACACTGCTCTGAGTAGTGTGACGAAATCTTGCCCTGTCCCTTGCCATCCCACCCAGGACATGAATCATCCTTTTTTCCAGCTTATCCATACTGTGTATATTGCCTGCTCATTAGATAGCTACCCATTAGTAGCTGTTTTGGTTATCAAATAAAAAAAACATAGGATGATACCCAAAGGACTATAAATCATGCTGCTATAAAGACACATGCACACGTATGTTTATTGCGGCACTATTCACAATAGCAAAGACTTGGAACCAACCCAAATGTCCAACAATGATAGACTGGATTAAGAAAATGTGGCACATATACACCATGGAATACTATGCAGCCATAAAAAATGATGAGTTCATGTCCTTTGTAGGGACATGGATGAAATTGGAAATCATCATTCTCAGTAAACTATCGCAAGAACAAAAAACGAAACACCGCATATTCTCACTCATAGGTGGGAATTGAACAATGAGATCACATGGATACAGGAAGGGGAACATCACACTCTGGACTGTTGTGGGGTGGGGGGAGGGGGGAGGGATAGCATTGGGAGATATACCCAATGCTAGATGACAAGTTAGTGGGTGCAGCGCACCAGCGTGGCACATGTATACATATGTAACTAACCTGCACAATGTGCACATGTACCCTAAAACTTAAAGTATAATAATAAAAGAAAAAAGAAAATGTGGCACATATACACCATGGAATACTATGCAGCCATAAAAAAGGATGAGTTCATGTCCTTTGCAGGGACATGGATGAAGCTGGACACCATCATTCTCAGCAAACTAACACAGGAACAGAAAACCAAACACCGCATGTTCTCACTTGTTAAGTGGGAGTTGAACAATGAGAACACATGGACACAGGGAGGGGAACATCACACGCTGGGGCCTGCTGGGGGTTGGGGGTGCTAAGGGAGGGATAGCATTTAGAGAAATACCTAATGTAGGTGATGGGTTGGTGAGTGCAGCAAACCACCACGGCACATGTATACCTATGTAACAAACCTGCACATCCTGCACATGTATCCCAGAACTTAAAGTATAATAATAATAAAAAAGGAAATATAAAAAAGAAAAAGAATTGTCATCAATCTTGAAAAATAAAACAAAATAAAATAAAGTCACTCTTGTACACACACACACACACACACACACACACACACACAAAAACATAGGATGTATGTAGGGTTCAATACAATCAGCAGTTTCCAGCATCCACTGGGGGTCTGAGAACATATACCCAAGGATAAGGGTGGACTACTGTAATTAATTTACCCTCTTCAACCACTATCCTGAGCTTAAAATTCGCTCATAACTGCATTTGATAAGCTCTGTCGCCTGCAAGACAAAGCAAGTTACTTTACACATAGGAAGTGGACAATTGAGGTTTGTAAATACAGTCCCTGCCCTCAGAATTTTCAGTCTAATAGGAGAGAAAAGACAAGAACCTCCTCCAGGTGCTCACCAAACTTTAATGTGGATCACCTGGGGAGCTGTTAAAATGCAGACTCTGTTCAAGTAGTTAGGAACTGCATTCTGGAGTTCCAACAAGCTCTCGGGCAATACCAATGCTGCTGATCCACAGATCACACTTTGAGCTGCAACGCTCTAAACCATCATGCAAAGGAGATAATGATAGGGTGCTGTATAAGGTAGAGATAATGGGCCACACTGTTTAAGACCTGGCTTGTTAAATAGCTTCCCACAATTATCCAAATTAATTTTTTAAATATTCCAGAATGAGACTAACATCAAGCCAACCACCAGGGAGCCACAAAAGAAATATTATAAACTCTGGGAAGAGAAGGCACAGTTACCTACCAGTTCAGGAAACATATATGATAGAGAGCAAACATGTCTAGCCAGCTCAGGGTGACTCCTTTCTCCACAAACTTGCCCCTCTTTAGGAAGGGTCCTGGGTAGCCATGTTGATACTGCTTGACCCCAGCCTCCAGCCACAGCTGTCTGGGCCAGGGGTGAGCATGTGACCCAAGTTGGGCTAATCAGATGATTTCTCCTGAGAATTTAGATTTGCTATTCCGGAAAGCTAGTCGGCCCCTGGGTGTGGCTGGAATTGAGATGATGTAAACATTCCACCTTCTGCCAATGCACAGAGAAGCAAAGAAAGCTGAGAGAATGAAACAGACCACAGACAGAGAAGTGGACATAGAAATGAAAGAGAAATACCCATATTCCTGAGGCTTCTTTGCCCCCATTCTGGTCTTTCCTGAAGCCTATTAGCATTTCTGCCCATGGTTTCTGTGCCTTAGAACTCAATCCCCTTATATTAAAAATCGTCCAAGTGTTGTACCAGTGAGTTTCAGATCTGCAAAAGCAAAGAGACTGGCTGGGCGCATTGACTCACACCTGTAATCCCAGCACTTTGGGAAACTGAGATGGGCAGGTCACTCGAGGTCAGGAGTTCGAGACCAGACTGGCTAACATGGTGAAACCCGGTCTCTATTAAAAATACAGAAATTGGCCTGGAGCAGTGGCGGGCGCCTGTAGTCCCAGCTATTCAGGAAGCTGAGGCACGAAGATCACTTGAACCTGGGAGGTGGAGGTTGCAGTGAGCCGAGATCGGGCCACTGCACTGTCCAGCCTGGCGACAGAGTGAGACTCTGTCTCAAACAAAAAAACAAAAGAAAGAGACTGATGAATAAACACAGTTCTACAACAAGCAGGACAAAGTCAGAGAGGGAGAGAAGGTTAAGAGCCTAGAAATGCAGGTCAGTGTGAGTCCCCCAGGTGGGTAGGTAGGAGAGAGGCCATTCCTGATAGGAGTGAAGTTTCAGGAACCAGAAAAGAAATTTCCTTCCTGCAGGCAGAGTGGAAGCCACCTGGTTCATGCTCCCTGGCTGCCGGGAATTCCTCACCTGGGAACTCCCCTCAACCTTCTTGTTTGTGTAGGATCAGCCATGCCAGAATGCACCTTGTTCCAGTCAAGCTCTGGGGCCACGGTAGCCCTGCTTTACTGCTGCCTGCGGTCTGGGGGAGCTGTTCCCAGCTGGCTGCCACTCTGCCCATTTTCCTAATCAGCATGCCACTCCCCAGGTCCCCAGCCTGGGGATGTGTGGCTTGGCTGAGCTGCAGGTGGGTCCCGAAGTCCATGGCGATGATCTGTGCCCAGTCCTTTTGTTCCAGGTAGACGACCAACTTGTCCTGCCTTTCCCAGGACCATCCCAGTTATAAAATGAAAAGTCCCAAATCTCAAGAACCCTCTCAGTTCTGGGGAAACTGGTAGGGTTAGTCACCCTAATTATAGAGACCCCAGGTCCTCAGTGGAAACTGCCTGAGCATTGTGCCCTGAAGACAGCATCCCAACCCTGAGGACCCCAGACCTCCAAACTCTACCCTCTTAAGGAGTCCCACACAACTGGATATTCCTGAAACCCCCATATCTCTCCATAGACCTGTGTGCAGTATGAGTCAGATTAGATTCTGAAGCCTCCCAGTCTTGAACTGGGTGACCCGGACATGTTACCTAACTTCACTGTGTCTTATCTGGAAAGTAATATCCAAAATAGCACATGTGCCTCATGGGATCATGGGAGTATTGCCTGGGAATTCCCCTCGACTTCCTGATTGTGTCAGGACCAGCCATATGCCAGAAAGCACCTTGTTCCCATCAAGCTCTGGGGCCACAGAGTCCCTGCCAGCTGAGGCTGTAGTTTGGCCCCATAGAAAGTTTTATTCTCTCAGCTTTAATTTTCAAAATATTCTGACTATATAAAAGTCAGCAGTTACTTTCATGACCTTACCCTAATCTAGTCATTGCCTCCTCCTTCCCATGGCCCACCTCCCACTCTGTTGGGTACACATCAGAGTGCCAGTGGTATGGCACAGTTTCTGCACAGGCAGTGGGAGGACCCAGGCTGCCTGCAGAGGCTTCACCTAGTCCTTCCTCTCTCTGGTGTTAGACCAGGGCCCGATTTCTGTAATCTCCAGGCTGAATCCCTGGAGGGGGAAAGCTCATGGAGCTAGTTAGAAGGGCCTAGCAGGAAAGGGGCTGTCAAAGGACTTCAGTTGCTTGGCCAGCACTCTGATACGAGCAGAGGACCCTGCGTCTCTGGTCCCCATGTTCTTACACCTGTCAGCAAGAAGTTCCAGCTCAGGAGGGACTGTCCCCTGTGAACCCTGGAAATACGGAAGAGGCATGAGCACATTTTATGCATGCACAGTGGGGGCAGCTGATGAAGTCCTTGCAGCCAGCTCTCCCACCTGACAATTGTCACATGGGGGTGAGGGCTGTCTGCTCACAAAGGCAACCTGGCCCACATAGATTTCTTAATTGCTGTTCACCACAGAGAAGTGTATACACTAATACGGGCATTGTATGTCCCAACGACAGCAAATCCCAAAGCCCCGGTGCTGGGTTTCAGGCCCTTTAAGGAGAAAACCCCAGAAGTGCATGGAAGTCTCACCACCTCCTCTGCGCCAGCCACACTGAGTCGGCTCTCAAAGGCCTCTTGTGACTGTCCTTTCTCTCATCTTTCCCCACGTTGATAAATGTTCTGGGATTAGCCCTTCTGTGTTTATTGGATGAGCAATTTGTGTCTGTCTGAAAAGCTACATCTGAATACTATTTGGCATGAGCTGAAGAAATGTGATCTGCTGCATTCCCCTCCAGCCAACTCTCTGGAGCTAGCCTGTCTCCTGCCAGCAGGGCCTACAGCTCTTCAGCAGGGTCTGGCAGCCTCACACGTTTGCTGAGGGGAGTGGTTGCACGCAGGAAGGTGGAGGAGGTGCCTAGGGTGGGACCGGGAACCCAGAGAGACAGAGGCAAAGCACCTTAGCAAATTGGCCAGTAGATCTAGAGCCCCTCTAATAATTTAGGGACATCACAGATGTGTGTGGTGAGCCCCAAGCCCTAGGGACAGGAAAAGCAGGTCCCCCATACAGCTCAGGAGCCTGAGTGGTTTCCTGAGCCCAGTGTCCTGGGTATGAACTGCAGCAGAGGTGATTCAAGAGAGTCCAGTGGGTAGCATCCCAGATCCCAGGTCTGGGAGGGATTAGTGTTGAGCTCTTGAGATTTGTGTGTTTGTGTGGGATGAAATGGGAGAGAATGGGCAGGAGGGTTGGGGAGGGCGGTAGAATAAGCTGTACCGAGGCTATTCAAATGTTTCCTGACTCCATCAGCACAGGTCCTGGAATTGGGAGGCCAGAGCTTGCAGCTGTGGCAATCAAGGGCCCAGTTAAAATACGCTAAGGAGTGTAGGGGAAGAGAGAATTTAGTTGGTATGGATGTGGGTGTGTCAACGACTTTCCCTAGCCCATATTCCCCAACCCAAGCCTTCTGCTGTGACCCCCTCAGCACTCTCCCTGCTATTCTCTTCGGGCCACATCACTTCTCCTTGTATCCCATCACTCATGTCTTTGTCTTCCCTCTACCTCTTCCCTACCCTTCCCAAGTCAGGGATCCCAGGGCAGGACACCATCCTTGTGTTCCTGATAGTGAGCATTGAACTGGCCACCAATGAGGCATCAATAATGGTTTCCTGAATAAAGGAATAAATGAGAGAGGCTGGGAATTCAAACTTCAGTGGCCACAGGTTCACAAGAAGATGACAAATGACAGATCAGACAGAGGTAACAATACAGGAGATCAGCTCAGGAGTGAAAACATCATCCTTGGAGTGCAAAGGAGTAGGTAAAGCCAGCTCATGACAGGAACTTGGGCACTTCAGCAGCCAGAGTCCATCTGATGAATGGCAAATGGTGTTTCACATGGTTCCAAATAGTCAGCAAACAGCTTTTGAATCCCTACTTTGTACCATACTCCATAGGACACCATCTGTCTCCACAAGCAGTTAAAAAATATGTGCACTCCTAAAAAGATAGGAGCAATCTGTGCTCTAACAGAGGTGTACAGAGAGGGTTATATAGATTCAGAAAAGGAAGAGGTTAATTTCACTTGGAGAAGCAAGGAAGGTTTCCTGGGGATGGGGGTGACGTTAGACCTGAATCTGGAACAAGGTCTGCAAATGCATCCCAAGTGTGCTGTTTCCCCTACACACACACCCAATCTGTACATCTATAGTGGATTTTTGCAAACTGATCCTTTTACTTTTTACTCTTTAGACTTGTGGGTGAGGTTTGTGAATGGAGAACAGCGGATGGTGTGGCTGAAAAAATAGGTTGAAGCAATATCTGGATTAGGATTTTGTCAAGCTAAGGAATGCGGGCTCAGGCTTGCAGAGGGAGAGGGACTTACATAGCTGTGTTCAGGAAGACATTCTGGCAGCAGCGCACAGGGAGGGCTGGGGTGGGAGGTGGGCAGACCAGCCAGACGTCTGTCCCAGGCAACAAGTGATGAGGCCTCCTCTGAGCTCCTGCCATACTTGGCTGAAACATCTGTTTGACACTCATCCCACTGTCTCTCTTGGAGCTGCCTTTTGATAGCATGACGGCCCCACAAGCCTGCGGGTTCCTTGACAGCAGGGGCTGTTTGTTGCCCCAGGCCTGACATGGTTCTTGGCAGGTGCTCATTATATATTTGTGAAGTTACTGAATAGGGCAGTGAAAAAAGGACAAGAGGCATACAGAGAAGGGCACAGATTTCCGGGATAACATTCTGTTTAGCAAGTGGAGTTCCCGTGGCCTGGGCATTGACACAGCTGTCTTTTGGTGTGTGTGGAGAAGTATAGGCATGTGCAGGCAGCCCAGGCAGAGAAGGAGCCACAGCTCCCTCCAGTTGGAGTGGGAGCTGCTGTCATTCTATTTGTGTGTGCATG
Organism: Homo sapiens; assembly: GCF_000001405.40. Taxonomy (NCBI): domain Eukaryota; kingdom Metazoa; phylum Chordata; class Mammalia; order Primates; family Hominidae; genus Homo; species Homo sapiens. The sequence goes on from NC_000009.12 coordinate 33,189,857, forward strand.
CATGTGTATGTGTGTCTCAGAGACGGACTTGCACAGAGTGTTTGGCTTTTCAGAGAGACCTGGACAGACAGACAGGAGACTTCATGATTTACTATCCTAAGATGTCTTGAGAGGTATATTAAAACTCTTCTTTTTTTTTTTTTACATGAGACAGGCGGTCTCACTATGTTGTCCAGGCTGGATTCGAACTTCTGGGCTAAAGCAATCCTCCCACTTCAGCCTCCCAAGTAGCTGGAGTTCAGGCACATGCCATTGCACCCAGCTAAAGCTCTTTTTTGGTTGCAAGTGAATAGAAACTCAACACAAGCAAGCTTAGGGAAAATCAGATATTTATTGGCTGGCTCATAGGATGCATTTGGGGGTAGCCGGAACCAGGGATTCCAACAATACCAGACTCTAGCATCTGCTTCTCTCTCCACCCATTAGCCTCATTCTGGCAGCCTGGCTTCCTCAAGGCTGGAAACACGGCTGCCAGTAGCCTGGGTCTCACATTTGAGAGCTTCCACCCAAGAGGCACCAAAGGCTTTCTTTCTCAAGTCCCAATGACAAAGGTCCCAGGAAAAGACTCTGATTGAGTCTCCTTGTGTCAGGGACCTGTCCCTGGCCTAGGACCAAGAACAGTAGATAAAGAAGCAGGGTCATGTAAGAAGGAAATACCTTCCAACAAAACCTCATTATTGGAGTGGGAAAAGGAGCAATTTCCAGAGGCTCCTGTCTTTTACGTATGTTAATTACCTTGCAAAACTCCAATAGGTATTACTGTTGTAATCTTTATTATCCTTGGGAATTATTACCTTAGAAAACCAAGGCACAGAGAGGGTTAAGCAACTGCCATAGATCACCCAATTAATAAATGGCTAGAACTTTTTTTTTTGAGATGGAGTCTTGCTCTGTCACCCAGGCTGGAGTGCAATGGTGCGATCTCAGCTCACTGCAACCTCTGCCTCCCGGGTTCAAGCCATTCTCCTGCCTCAGCCTCCCAAGTAGCTGGGATTACAGGCATGCGCCACCACACCCAGCTAACTGTTGTATTTTTAGTAGTGATGGGGTTTCCCCATGTTGGCTAGGCTGGTCTTGAACTCCTGACCTCAGGTGATCCACCCACCTTGGCCTCCCAAAGTGCTGGGATTACAGGCGTGAGCCATCGCGCCTGGCCAAATGGCTAGAGTTGATAAATAGCTAGCTAATAAATGGTTAGCAGAGATGGAGTTCGGATCTAAATTCATTCAATTGATCTTCCCCTGTATCTTCCTGTTGTGTTATAGTGCCTATTCACCACGGGAGGGAAAAAAGCAAGGTGCAGAGATTCGAGGAAGGGACAAAGATAATTCTCCTGGGAACAGCCAAGGGCTGGGCTGAGGAGCCTGTGGGAAGTGATTGATTCAGTGTCACCAGGGGAATCAGGAATAAGAAACCCCACCACCCATCAATCTCATGGCAGAGATCTGAAAAGGGACATTTCGTGCTGACTTCTCCATCCTTCTTCCATCTTAACTTACTTAAAGTAAAATTTGATGAAGCCAAGGAAAGCAAATAAAAGAACAGTGAGGTCCCATTTTAACCTATTAAAAATTTAAGCAGGACTATAATAGTCGTGCTGGCAGGGGTGGGGAAATGGCTTGCTTCTAAATGGCTGGTGACAAGCTAAAGTGGTCCAACCTGTGAAAAACAATTTATTTGGTCATGAGGGTTAAGAGCTACAAAAGCTTTCTTTATTTTTGACCCAGTAATCTTACTTTTTAGAAACAACTCCTGGAGTCACAAAATAAAATGCAATTAGTGTCATGTGCAAGAGATACATCTAAAACAGTGTTTCTCAGAAAGATCAAAAGTAAAAGGATAGGAAAAAATAGAAAGCAAAAATAAACGCCGTACATGCAAATACATGCAACAAGAAAACAGACGTTACTGCCGGGCATGGTGGCTCACACCTGTAATCCCAGCACTTTGGGAGGCCGAGGC